>NC_000024.10:10000-44821 GCF_000001405.40 Homo sapiens
CTAACCCTAACCCTAACCCTAACCCTAACCCTAACCCTCTGAAAGTGGACCTATCAGCAGGATGTGGGTGGGAGCAGATTAGAGAATAAAAGCAGACTGCCTGAGCCAGCAGTGGCAACCCAATGGGGTCCCTTTCCATACTGTGGAAGCTTCGTTCTTTCACTCTTTGCAATAAATCTTGCTATTGCTCACTCTTTGGGTCCACACTGCCTTTATGAGCTGTGACACTCACCGCAAAGGTCTGCAGCTTCACTCCTGAGCCAGTGAGACCACAACCCCACCAGAAAGAAGAAACTCAGAACACATCTGAACATCAGAAGAAACAAACTCCGGACGCGCCACCTTTAAGAACTGTAACACTCACCGCGAGGTTCCGCGTCTTCATTCTTGAAGTCAGTGAGACCAAGAACCCACCAATTCCAGACACACTAGGACCCTGAGACAACCCCTAGAAGAGCACCTGGTTGATAACCCAGTTCCCATCTGGGATTTAGGGGACCTGGACAGCCCGGAAAATGAGCTCCTCATCTCTAACCCAGTTCCCCTGTGGGGATTTAGGGGACCAGGGACAGCCCGTTGCATGAGCCCCTGGACTCTAACCCAGTTCCCTTCTGGAATTTAGGGGCCCTGGGACAGCCCTGTACATGAGCTCCTGGTCTGTAACACAGTTCCCCTGTGGGGATTTAGGGACTTGGGCCTTCTGTCTTTGGGATCTACTCTCTATGGGCCACACAGATATGTCTTCCAACTTCCCTACACAGGGGGGACTTCAAAGAGTGCCTTGAGCTGATCTGGTGATTGCTTTTTTGTACTGTTATTTATCTTATTCTTTTCATTGTGAGGTACTGATGCAAACACTTTGTACGAAAAGGTCTTTCTCATCTCGGGAGTCCCCGTCTATTTGTCCCGGTCCCTGTTAACCCAGTCCCCGACAGGAGCCCCTTCTGCACCTTGAGCTCTCACCACTCACCGTCCATCCAGCCCCAGCTCTGCCTGCAACCCACCCATCCCTGGGACTCGGGCCTCCCCTCTCTAGTGGTCTGGTCATCAGGCCAGGGGCACGTGGAAGAAGCTATCGTGGCAAAGGGAGCAGTCATATCCCCAAAATCTGTGGTTGGTTTACCACCACCATGGAAACCCCAGGGTGGGACTCTAGTTTCAGGTTGGAGCTGAGCCCTGTCGGGAATGAGCTTTCCCCAGCTATGGCTTCTTGGGGCCCCTGTGCCCTGAGCTGTGTCTCCCAGCATCGGGTCCCCACCATGCATATGGCCCACTCAGGCACAGTGCCGCGATGGCTGCATGCGTGAGGGGGGCCTGGGCCCAGGGCTGGGAGTCCTTTGTGTCTCATGGCCATGATTGTCCTTCCGAGTATGATATGGTGGCCAATTTCTTTTATTCTGTCGTTCAGAGTGAGTAAATGATGTAGAGTTCATGCAGAAAAAAATACAACAAAAACCAAGGGAACATAGAATTGGAAAACGCGTCACAGCAATGAGTTAAATAGGTAACAAATTTCATCATTTGAAGAAAGACTTAGAGTGCCAAAAGTGCCTCTTAAGTCTCCTTTAAAAAGTAGCAAAATTCATCCCTGAAGAAGCATCTTGGCCTTTTTCATGTACTCAGAGTGCTGGTGAAGAACAAAGATTGCTGAAACATTATGTACCTAACAGCGTTACAGGGTGTAGATAACACACTGGAAAACCTGGTCGTTACAGTGGACATATTCCAGGAAGTCCTTGCCTGAGGTTTTCCAAGTTATGGAATTGCTTGAGATTGGAAGAGGCGATGGAGGGTACAACTGTAATGCCCAACCTCATTTTTGCTAACCCTGTTTTTAGACTCTCCCTTTCCTTCAATCACCTAGCCTTCTTTCCACCTGAAAGGACTCTCCCTTAACTGAGAGAACCGGACAGACTCCATCTTGGCTCTTTCACTGGCAGCCCCTTCCTCAAAGACTTAACTCGTGCAAGCTGACTCCCAGGACATCCGAGAATGCAATTAACTGACAACCTACTGTGGCGAGCTACATCCGCAGTCCCCAGGAATTCGTCCGATTGATAACGCCCAATTACCCGCGTCTATCACCTTGTAATAGTCTTAAAGCACCTGCACCTGGAACTGTTTACTTTCCTGTAACCATTTATCCTTTTAACATTTTGCCTGATTTACTTATGTAAAATTCTTTTAACTAGACCGCCACTCCCCTTTCTAAACAAAAGTATAAAAGAAAATCTAGCCCCTTCTTTGGGACTGAGACAATTTTGAGGTTAACGCAGGGTGCCTGTAATCCTAAGGGAGGAGACCGCCACTTCTGCTGCCCTTCCCTTCCCCACACCCCCTTCTCTAGTTTATGAAACAGGGAAAAAGGGAGAAAGCAAAAAGATAAAAAAAACAGAAGTAAGATAAATAGCTAGACGACCTTGGCAGCACCACCCGGCACTGGTGGTTAAAATAATAATAATAATAATATTAACCCCTGACCTAAACTACTTGTGTTATCTGTAAATTCCAGACACTGTATGAGGAAGCCCTGCAAAACTTTCTGTTCTGTTATCTGATGCGTGTAGCCCCCAGTCACGTTCCGATGCTTGCTCGATCTATCACGACCCTTTCAAGTGAACCCCTTAGAGTCGTAAACCCTTAAAAGGGCCAGGAATTTCGTTTTCGGGGAGCTCGGCTCTTCAGGCCCAAGTAAACCTGCCGTATCTCACCTGAGACCAACCCCCAACTACAAAACTCAACCTGGAATTTTCCCAGGACCAAACCCATCTATATTCTGTAACCCGAAACCTCAAAGCCTAACCCTAACCCTAACCCCTACAGTTGAGGTCCCCCCGCCCCTGTGGTTCCAGCTCAAGACAACCTGCCCCTCCGTGGGTTTGCAGGCCCTCTGGTGGGGGTGGGAGCTGGGGGCCACATACAGCTCTCTGAGCTTAAGCCATTTTCTTCCTTCATTCCTTCCTTCCTCCCTCCCTTCCCTTCCTTCCTCCCTCCCTCCCTCCTTCCCTCCCTCCCTTTTTTTTTTCAGGGTCTTGCTCTGTCACCCAGGCTGGAGTGCAGTGGCATGATCACAGCTGACTGCAGCCTCGGACTCCCAGGCTCAAGTTATCTTCCCTCCTCAGCCTCCAGAGTAGGTGGGACTACAGGAGTGTGCCATCGCACCCAGCGAATTTCTTAATTTTTATTTTGTAGAGATGAGGCCTCTCGATATTGTCCAGGCTTGGAAGTAGTTCTTGAAATTCAAGAGGATCTTGAAGTTCTGACCTCCTGTCAATATCCCTTCCCCTCACCTTGACCCTCCCATTCTGCCCCACCTGTCAGGATCACAAGGACCCCCAGATCAGCAGATGGGAACCGGACCAAAAAGAGAAATAGTGCTGTCCCGCCCATAAGTACCACCCCCAGACTCCCTGCTCCACCCTCTGGACCACAGGGAGGCCCCATGCTCCATCCCTGAAAACCACCCCCAGACCCCCTGCTCCTCCCCACGGGACCGCCCCCAGATCCACTGTTCCTGTCCTCCGGACCACACCGGACAGCTCCTTCCCTCGGCGCCATCCCCAGACCCCAGCTCCTCCCCTCAGGATCATCCCCAGACCCCCGCTCCTCCCATCAGGACCGCCCCCAGAACCCCCTGCTCCTCCCCACAGGACCACCCCCAGACCCCCGCTCCTCCCCTAAGGACCACCCACAGACCCCCACGCTTCCCCTCGGGACCACCCCCAGACCCCCGCTCCTCCCCTCAGGACCACCCCCAGATCCACTGTTCCTGTCCTCCGGACCACACCAGACAGCTCCTTCCCTCGGCGCCATCCCCAGACCCCCACGCTTCCCCTCGGGACCACCCCCAGACCCCCGCTCCTGCCCTCGGGACCACGCCCAGACCCCCTGCTCCTCCCCACGAAACCACGCCCAGTAACCCCCCTCTTCTCCCCTCAGGACCACCCCCAGACCCCCGCTCCTCCCCTGGGAACCACCCCCAGACCCCCTGCTCCTCCCCACGAAACCACCCCCAGACTCCCTGCTCCTGTCCTCCGGACCACGCGACTGCTCCTTCCCTCAGCGCCACCCCCAGACTGCCGCTCCTCCTGTCGGGACCCCCTGAGGCTTTCTCCACCCGGAGTGCGGGGTAGGGAGCAGACGGAGAGTGACGGAGGGTGACGGAGAGTGACGAAAGTAGACGATGTCTGACGGAGAAGAGCCGAGCGGAGCTGAAGGGCGGCGGAGAGTGACGGAAAGTGGCGAGAATTGACGGAAAGTGACGGGGACTGACGGACAGTGACGAAGAGTCACGAAATTTATCAGAGGGCGACAAAGAGGAAAGCGAAATGGTGAGATGCAGCCGGCCGAGCCTAATCGGAGATGACGGAAAGTGACGGAGAGGAACGAGGAGTAAAGAGGGGTGACGAAAAGAGCCGAAGCTGGTGGAGGCGAAGAACTGAGTGAGGGAAGATAGCCGAGATTAGCGGGTGGGCTGCAGCCGGGGCAGTCGCCCGAATGGGCGGGACCCCACGGAGTTAGCGAGAGGATGCGAACAGCGGCCAGCCGGGCAGCACGCGAGCGAGGGAGGGCGTGGAGGGCCGTGGGTCCGCCTGCACTGAGGCAGGCATGCGTGGCACCGAGGTGACCCGGGTGGGAGGTGCACCGCCGCCCCCTGGCAGTCTCTCCGCGGAGCCCAAGCCCGTCTTCTCCGCCCCTTTGCAGACCTCGGCGCCCAGCCTGGCCCCTGACGCCCACCCGCGGCCCCACCCAGCGCCCGGGCCCACGAGGCCGAGGAGCGGCGGAGACTAACGGCCCCTGGACCCCAGGCAGCACATGGCCCAGAGCATCCCAGCCCAGTGGAGGGCGGCACATGGCGGGAGGGCGGGAGTCCGTGTCCACTCATGGCCGGGGAGGGGAGGGCAAGTTCTGGTGGCTGGGGAGGCCTAGAGCATCACAGCCCAGTGGAGGGCTGCACATGGCAGGGGAGGGGAGAGCAAGAGTGTGCGGGCGAGGGAGGAGAGGGCAAGACTGCGTGTCCGCTCCAGTCTCTCTTCCTCATCTTATAAAGCCACGAGTCCCATGACTGGGGACCCAACCTAATAACATTATCTAATCCTAATTGCCTCCCAAAGGCCATATCTCCAATCAGGACATGAATTCGGGGATTAAATTGCCAACACATGGCTGGGCGCGATGGCTTGTGCTTTTTTTTTTTTTTTTTTTGAGACGGAGTCTCGCTCTGTCGCCCAGGCTGGAGTGCAGTGGCGCTATCTCGGCTCACTGCAAGCTCTGCCTCCCGGGTTCACGCCATTCTCCTGCCTCAGCCTCCTGAGTAGCTGGGACTACAGGCGCCCGCCACCACGCCCAGGTAATTTTTTTTTTTTTTTTTTTGTATTTCTTTGTAGAGACGGGGTTTCACCATGTTAGCCAGGATGGTCTCGATCTCCTGACCTCGTGATCCACCCATCTCGGTCTCCCAAAGTGCTAGGATTGCAGGCCTGAGCCACCGCACCCAGCTGCCTTGTGCTTTTAATCCCAGCACTTTCAGAGGCCAAGGCAGGCGATCACCTGAGGTCAGGAGTTCAAGACCAGCCTGGCCAACATGGTGAAACCCCATCTCTAATACAAATACAAAAAAAAAACAAAAAACGTTAGCCAGGAATGAGGCCCGGTGCTTGTAATCCTAAGGAAGGAGACCACCACTCCTCCTGCTGCCCTTCCCTTCCCCACACCGCTTCCTTAGTTTATAAAACAGGGAAAAAGGGAGAAAGCAAAAAGCTTAAAAAAAAAAAAAAAAAAACAGAAGTAAGATAAATAGCTAGATGATCTTGGCAGCACCACCCGACCCTGGTGGTTAAAATAATAATAATAATAATATTAACCCCTGACCTAAACTACTTGTGTTATCTGTAAATTCCAGACACTGTATGAGGAAGCCCTGCAAAACTTTCTGTTCTGTTATCTGATGCGTGTAGCCCCCAGTCACGTTCCCCATGCTTCCTCGATCTATCACAACCCTTTCACGTAAACCCCTTAGAGTTGTAAACCCTTAAAAGGGCCAGGAATTTCGTTTTCGGGGAGCTTGGCTCTTCAGGCGCAAGTGTGCCGATGCTCCTGGCAGAGTAAAGCCCTTCCTTCTTTAACCCAGTGTCTGAGGAATTTTGTCTGCGGCTTGTCCTGCCACAATGCCAGCTACCAGGAGGCTGAGGTGTGAGAATCGCTCGAACCTGGGAGGCAGAGGTTGCAGCGAGCCGAGATCCCACGATTGCACTCCAGCCTGGGTGATAGATGACAGAGCAAGACACCATGTCAAAAAGAAAAGAAAAAAAATTGCCAACACATGAAATCTGGAGAACACATTCAAGCAATAGCACCATATAAATCTGTACATACCTTGCAAACACTGTAAACCTGCCGCATCTCACCTGAGACCAACCCCCAACCGCAAAACCCAGACCTGGAATTTTCCCAGGACCAAACCCATCTATATTCTGTAACCCGAAATCTCAAAGCCTAACCCTAACCCTAACCCCGACAGTTCAGGTCCCCCCGTCCCCGTAGCTCCAGCTCAAGACAACCTGCCCCTCCGTGGGTTTGCAGGCCCTTTGGTGGGGGTGGGAGCTGGGGGCCACACACAGCTCTCTGAGCTTAAGCCATTTCCTTCCTTCCTTCATTCCTTCCTTCCTCCCTCCCTCCCTCCTTCCCTCCCTCCCTTTTTTTTTTCAGGGTCTTGCTCTGTCACCCAGGCTGGAGTGCAGTGGCATGATCACAGCTGACTGCAGCCTCGGACTCCCAAGCTCAAGCGATCTTCCCGCCTCAGCCTCCAGAGTAGGTGGGACTACAGGAGTGTGCCATCGCACGTGGCGAATTTCTTAATTTTTATTTTGTAGAGATGAGGCCTCCCGATATTGTCCAGGCTTGGAAGTAGTTCTTGAAATTCAAGAGGATCTGGAAGTTCTGGTCTCCTGTCAATATCCCTTTCTAAGATGAAATGTAGAATCCTCTAATCACCCCAGGATACCTTTTCCAGCTATATTACCCTTTCCTTTCAGCCGACTAGAGTGGAAGCTCAGCAAAGAACGGATCTATGCCTGCACACAGGCAGCTTTGAACTCACTGAGATCTATAGAAGAATTTTTTAAAATTTGCCAGAATGAAAAAGAAGTATCCTCCAGTGAGCCTCAAGGACAGCCAGGGAAGGCAGCTACTGGGACCTGCCACTGGCCAGGATTGAGAGAGTCTGAGGTGTCCATTCTCCTATGGATGGGTCACACATCAGAACTGAACCACAAACCCTTTCCTGCTCCCTTGGGACCAGGCTGCCACTCCTTCCTTCCCCTCACCTTGACCCTCCCATTCGGCCCCACCTGTCAGGATCACAAGGACCCCCAGATCAGCAGATGGGAACCGGACCAAAAAGAGAAATAGCGCTGTCCCGCCCAAAAGTACCAACCCCAGACCCCCTGCTCCACCCTCCGAACCACAGGGAGACCCCATGCTCCACCCCTGAAAACCACATGCAGACCCCCGCTCCTCCTCTTAGGGCCATCCCCAGACCCCCCCTCCTACCCACGGGACCACACCCAGAACCCCCAGCTCCTCCCCTCGGGACCACCCCAGACCCCCGCTCCTCCCCTCGGGACCACCCCCAGACCCCCGCTCCTCCCCTCGGGACCACCCCAGACCCCCGCTCCTCCCCTCGGGACCACCCCAGACCCCCTGCTCCTCCTCTTAGGACCATCCCCAGACCCCCCCTCCTACCCACGGGACCACACCCAGAACCCCCAGCTCCTCCCCTCGGGACCACCCCAGACCCCCGCTCCTCCCCTCGGGACCACCCCAGACCCCCGCTCCTCCCCTCGGGACCACCCCAGACCCCCGCTCCTCCCCTCGGGACCACCCCCAGACCCCCTGCTCCTCCTCTTAGGACCATCCCCAGACCCCCCCTCCTACCCACGGGACCACACCCAGAACCCCCAGCTCCTCCCCTCGGGACCACCCCCAGACCCCCTGCTCCTCCTCTTAGGACCACCCCAGACCCCCGCTCCTCCCCTCGGGACCACCCCAGACCCCCGCTCCTCCCCTCGGGACCACCCCAGACCCCCGCTCCTCCCCTCGGGACCACCCCCGACCCCCTGCTCCTCCTCTTAGGACCATCCCCAGACCCCCCCTCCTACCCACGGGACCACACCCAGAACCCCCAGCTCCTCCCCTCGGGACCACCCCAGACCCCCGCTCCTCCCCTCGGGACCACCCCAGACCCCCGCTCCTCCCCTCGGGACCACCCCAGACCCCCGCTCCTCCCCTCGGGACCACCCCCAGACCCCCTGCTCCTCCTCTTAGGACCATCCCCAGACCCCCCCTCCTACCCACGGGACCACACCCAGAACCCCCAGCTCCTCCCCTCGGGACCACCCCAGACCCCCGCTCCTCCCCTCGGGACCACCCCAGACCCCCGCTCCTCCCCTCGGGACCACCCCAGACCCCCGCTCCTCCCCTCGGGACCACCCCCAGAACCCCCGCTCCTCCCCTCGGGACCACCCCAGACCCCCGCTCCTCCCCTCGGGACCACCCCAGACCCCCGCTCCTCCCCTCGGGACCACCCCCAGACCCCCTGCTCCTCCTCTTAGGACCATCCCCAGACCCCCCCTCCTACCCACGGGACCACCCCCAGACCCCCCGCTCCTCCCCTCGGGACCACCTCAGACCCCCGCTCCTCCCCTCGGGACCACCCCAGACCCCCGCTCCTCCCCTCGGGACCACCCCAGACCCCCTGCTCCCATTTTCCAGACCACACCAGACGGCTTCTTCCCTCGGCACCACCCCCAGACTGCCGCTCCTCCTATCGGGACCTCCTCGGGGCCATCTCCAGACCCTCCCCCCGCTCCACCCCTCGGGTCCCTCTCGGGACCACCCTCAGACCCCCGCTCCTTCCCTCGGGATCACCTCGAGACCTCCCGCTCACCACCATCATTCAGGCCGGGTAGTGGGGAGAGGCCTCTCAGGAGGGACCAGGCCACCCTCCCAGGAGTGAAGGGAGGAGGACAGAGTCACGAGCAGACCAGAAATAACCAGGGACTGACAGACAGCAGGATCGGAGAGGGACGGAAAAGGGCTAAGGGCAGGAAAAGTCCCTGAGGCTTTCTCCACCCGGAGTGCGGGGTAGGGAGCAGACGGAGAGTGACGAAGGGTGACGGAGAGTGACGAAAGTAGACGATGTCTGACGGAGAAGAGCCGAGCGGAGCTGAAGGGCGGCGGAGAGCGACGGAAAGTGGCGAGAATTGACGGAAAGTGACGGGGACTGACGGACAGTGACGAAGAGTCACGAAATTTATCAGAGGGCGACAAAGAGGAAAGCGAAATGGTGAGATGCAGCCGGCCGAGCCTATTCGGAGATGACGGAAAGTGACGGAGAGGAACGGGGAGTAAAGAGGGGTGACGAAAAGAGCCGAAGCTGGTGGAGGCGAAGAACTGAGTGAGGGAAGATAGCCGAGATTAGCGGGTGGGCTGCAGCCGGGGCAGTCGCCCGAATGGGCGGGACCCCACGGAGTTAGCGAGAGGATGCGAACAGCGGCCAGCCGGGCAGCACGCGAGCGAGGGAGGGCGTGGAGGGCCGTGGGTCCGCCTGCACTGAGGCAGGCATGGGTGGCACCGAGGTGACCCGGGTGGGAGGTGCACCGCCGCCCACTCGCAGGTTCTGCGCGGAGCCCAAGCCCGTCTTCTCCGCCCCTTTGCAGACCTCGGCGCCCAGCCTGGCCCCTGACGCCCACCCGCGGCCCCACCCAGCGCCCGGGCCCACGAGGCCGAGGAGCGGCGGAGGCTCGCGGCCCCTGGACCGCAGACCGCGTTCCCGGAGCCCGGCCGAGCCCCGAGTGGGGCCCTCGCGCGGACTGAGAGGGCGGCGGAGGGGCCACGGGGTCCTGCCCAGCCCGCATCGCGCATGCTGCTCGGGACCGGCGGCTGCCTTGGGCCAACCCTGTTCCCGCAGCGGCCCAGCCCCGGGCGGGAGCCGACCTGGGGGACGCGGGACCCCGCGCGAGCTGCTCGGCCTGTAGGGGGCTGCGCGGCGGGGCGGGGCGGGGCCGGCCGCGGCGCCCTCGCTCCTCGCCCTCCCTCTCTCCCTCCCTCTCTCCCTAAGACACTTTTTCTTCTTTGTGGCACAATATACAAAACACGGAGTTTGCCATACTGGCCGTTTTCAGGGCGCAGGTCGGTGGGACTGAGCACATCGCGTGGTGCGCTCGGCGCCACCGTCTGTCTGCAGAACGTTTGCACCTTTCCAAGCTGAACAGCTCTCCTTTCCGCCTCCCCCAGCCCGTGACAACCTCCCCTCTACGTTTCGTCTCTCAGTTTGACCTACTAGGTACTGAGGTCCCCTGGGTACTGAGATCTCCTCGGTACTGAAGTCTCCTCGGTGCTGAGGTCGCCTCGGTGCTGAGACCTCCTAGGTATTGAGGTCGCCTCGGTACTGAGGTTGCCTCGGTGCTGAGGTCGCCACGGTGCTGAGACCTCCTAGATACTGAGGTCTCCTAGGCACGGAGATCTCCTATGTACAGAGACCTCGTCGGTACTGAGGTCGCCTAGGTACTGAGACCTTCTAGGTCCTGAGGTCTAGGTACTGAGGCCTTCTCCTGTCGGAGGTGGGAAACTACTCAGTGGTAAAGCAGAACCAAGACCTTCCTCTGAGGGTGGTGGGCTGAGCTGTCTCTTCCTTTCTAGGGGCCTTGTATTCACGCCATGAGAGACCCCCCTACTCTTCTGACACGTTCCCATTTTGCTGAAGACACTTGGAGCCAGTGTCATCTTTGTGACTGTACCGTTGCGTGTTCGGGGTGCACTCTGCCGTATTCTCTTTGCAGAGCACCTAAGGAAGCAGGCGTCGTGCCTAAGAACGTGAGTGCTGCAAAAAGGGTGGTTTGTTCCAATCCAACCTTGACCGCTCCTGGCCCTCCCACATGGGTCAAGTTCACTAAACGTCTCTGTGCCTCCATTTCCTCGGCAGAAGAACAGGGACAGTAAATGTACCCGTCTGTATGAGTGTTCAGGGCCGCCATAAGGTACCAAGACTGGAGGGCTTCACTGAAAATTATCTTCCCACAGACCTGGAGGCTGAGGTCCGAGAGCAAGGTGTTGTCAGCAGGGCTGGTTTCTCCTCTCCTCGGCTTGCGGACGCCGTCTGGTGTACGCTCATAGGGTCTTTTCACTGTGCACAAGTATCCCTATCGTCTCTTCTGTGTGTGTCCACACTTCCTCTCATGAGAACAGCAGGTTGCTTTAGGGCCCACCCTGACAGCCTCGTTCTAATACTATGAGGCCAAATACACTCACGTTCTGAGGCAGTGGGGGTTAGGGCTTCAACATCGACATCCGAGACTGGGAGATGATAAATTCCTGTTGACGAACCCACCCGGTTTCTGGTCACTGGTTATGGCAGCCCCCAGGAAACCAGCCCACAGAAACAGCAGTCCCTCCACTTGGTTCTGATCCAGGATGAAGCTGTTGTAGACCGCCAGCGTTTGGGGAATGTGAATGCCTGATACGAAGGAATTCTTTGCGCCATATTGTTGCCTTAATGTAACTGTGAAGTTGCGTCAAAATAAACATTAATGGCCGGGCGCGGTGGCTCACGCCTGTAATCCCAGCACTTTGGGAGGCCAAGGCAGGTGGATCACGAGGTCAGGAGATCAAGACCATCCTGGCCAACACAGTGAAACCCCATCTCTACTAAAAATACAAAAAATTCTCCGGGCGCGGTGGCGGGCGCCTGTAGTCCCAGCTACTCAGGAGGCTGAGGCAGGAGAACAGCGTGAGCCCGGGAGGTGGAGCTTGCAGTGAGCTGAGATTGCGCCACTGCACTCCGGCCTGGGCGACAGAGCGAGACTCCATCTCAAAAAATAAAAATAGAAAATAAACATTAATGAAAATTCTCAGCAAAAGTCATATATATTCTCGCCAAGGCGACACACCAGCTAATTACTGTGTCGACTCCTTTGTTTTGGGCTCGATTTTATGAACTTGGTGCAGTAACACCTGCCGTTTACCTCTGGCCTATCCAAAGCCCAGATAAGCACAGGCAACAAAAGCACAAATAGACAAATGGTCCAACTTCGAGGTTAAACATTTCTGCACAGGAAACAACAGTGAAAAGGCAAGACATGGAATAAGAGGAAATAACTGCAGATTATATGTCTGGTACGTCGGATATTCGTCCAGCACATATAAAGAGCTCCTGCAACTGAACAATTGAAAAACAAGTTAACTGATTGAAAAATGAGCAAACGACCTGAATAGATATTTCTCCAGAAAAGATATACAAGTAGCAAACAAACATGGAAGGATCCTCAACATCAGTAATCATTAGAGAAATACACATCAAAACCACAGTGATAGCACCTCACATCCATGAAATGCTACAGTGAAACAAAAATAGTGTTAACAAGGATGTGTGGAAATTGGAGCCCTCGTGGATTGCCTGTAGGACTAGAAAATGGTGTGGCCACCGTGGAAAACACTATGGAGCCTCCTCAAAAAAGCACTAAATATCAGGCTGGGCACAGTGGCTCACACCTGTCATCCCAGCACTTTGGGAGCCCGAGGCAGGTGGATCACAAAGTCAGGAGTTCGAGACCAGCCTGGCCAACATGGTGAAACTCCGTCTCTACTAAAAATAAAAAATTAGCCGGGCGTGGTTGTGGGTGCCAGGAATCCCAGCTACCCGGGAGGCTGAGGCAGGAGAATTGCTTGAACCCCGGAGGCAGAGGTTGCATTGAGCCGAGATCGCGCCACTGCACTCCAGCCTGGGTGACAAAGGAAGACTCCATCTCGGGGGGGCGGGGTGGGGGGAAGCAAACACAAAATAATTAGCTAAGTGTGGTGACAGATGCCTATAGTCCCAGCTACTCGGGAGGCTAAGGCAGGAGAAGCGCCTGAACCAGGAGGTGGAGGCTGCAGTGAGCCGATTATGCCACCGCACTCCACCCTGGGCGGCACAGTGAAACTCCATCTCCGCAAAAACAAAACCAGAAAAATAACAACTAAAAATCACTTGGGTGTGGTGATGTGCAGCTGCACTACCGGCTACTTGGGAGGCTGAGGGAAGGGGATCACTGAAGCCCAGGAGTTCAAGGCCAGCCTGGGCAACATATAAAACTCTGTCTCTTAAAAAATAAATAAATAACCAGAAATGGAACCACCTATGAACCAGCAATCACATTACTTCTCCGACTAAATCCAAAAAGATTGAAAGCAGAGTCTGGAAGGGATTATTGCACAACCGTGGTCGTTACAGCAGTATTCACAATAGCCAAAAGATGGAAGCAGCCCGGTGCCCATGATCGCATTATGTTATGACACCACCACTTCTCCTGTTGTCCTTCCCACTTTCTCCCCAACCTCCCCTTTTCCCTAGTTTATAAGACAAGAGAAAAGAGAGAAAGCAAAAAGTTGGAAAGAAACAAAAGTAAGATAAATAGCTAGACGACCTTGGTGCCACCACCTGGCCCTGGTGATTAAAATAATAATAGTATTAACCGCTGACCAAAACTACTGGTGCTATCTGTAAATTCCAGACATTGTATGAGAAAGCACTGTAAAACTTTTTGTTCTGGCCGGGCGCGGTGGCTCACGCCTGTAATCCCAGGACTTTGGGAGGCCGAGGTGGGAGGATCATGAGGTCAGGAGATTGAGACCATCCTGGCTAACACGGTGAAACCCCATCTCTACTAAAAATACAAAAAATTAGCTGGGTGCAGGCCGGGCACGGTGGCTCCAGCCTCTAATCCCAGCACTTTGGGAGGCCGAGGCGGGTGGATCACAAGGTCAGGAGATCGAGACCATCCTGGTTAACATGATGAAACCCCGTGTCTACTAAAAATACAAAAAATTAGCCGGGCGCGGTGGCGGGCGCCTGTAGTCCCAGCTACTGGGGAGGCTGAGGCAGGAGAATGGTGTGAACCCGGGAGGCGGAGCTTGCAGTGAGCTGAGATCACGCCACTGCACTCCAGCCTGGGCCACAGAGCGAGATTCCGTCTCAAAAAAAATAAAAAAATAAAAACTTTTTGTTCTCTTAGCTGATGTATGTAGCCCCCACTCACGTTCCTCACACTTACTTGATCTATTATGACTCTTTCACATAGACCCCTTAGAGTTCTTAGCCCTTAAAAGGGCTAGGAATTTCTTTTTCGGGGAGCTCGGCTCTTAAGACACGAGTCTGCCGAATCTCCCGGCCAAATAAAAAAACCTCTTCCTTCTTTAATCTGGTGTCTGAGGAGTTTTGACTGTGACTCATCCTGTTACAGCATGACTGGAAAAAGAAAATGTGGTTCATCCATATAATGAAATATGAATCAGCCCTAAAAAGGAAGGAATGATGAGACAGGCTACCACATGGACTCACCTGTTGTTAACAAGATAAGCCAGACAAAAAAGTGCTGTGTGATCCCACTCCTATGAGGTCTCTGGAAGAGTGGAATTCATAGAGACAGACAGTAGAATGGTGGGTGCCAGGGGCCGGGGGAATGGGGCACCCTGGTTTGATGTGGACACAGTTTCTGTTTTGTAAGATGAAGAAGTTGTAAACATCTGTTATACAACAATGCGGATATGATGAACACTGCTGAAGTGTATCCTTAAAAATACTTTAAAGGGGCCGGGCGCGGTGGCTCATGCCTGTAATCCCAGCACTTTGGGAGGCCGAGGCAGGCGGATCACGAGGTCAGGAGATCGACACCGTCTTGGCCAACACAGTGAAACCCCGTCTCTACTAAAATACAAAAAATTTGCCAGGTGTGGTGGCGGGTGCCTGTGATCCCAGCTACTTGGGAGGCTGAGGCAGGGGAATCACTTGAACCCGGGAGGTAGAGGTTGAAGTGAGCTGAGATTGTGCCACTGCACTCCAGCCTGGGCAACAGAGCAAGCCTCCATCTAAAAAAAAGAAGTAGTTGAAAGGGTAAATTTTATGTTATGTGGCTTTTACCTCCATTAAAAATAAAAATAAAGGCTGAATGTGGTAGCTTACCCCTGTAATCCGAGCACTTTGGGAGGCCAAAGCAGGACGATTACTTGAGCTCAGAAGTGTGAGACCAGCCTGGACAACTTGGTGAGACCCCATCTCTACTAGAAATTTTTTTTTAATTGGCTGAGTGTGATGGTGTGCACCTATAATCCCCAGATACTCAGGAGGCTGAGGCAAGAGGATTGCTTGAGCCTAGGAGCGGGGGGCTGTGGTGAGCCATGATGGTACCATTGCACTCCAGCCTGGGTGACAGAGTGAGACCCTGCCTCAAAAAAAAAAAAAAATTAAATTAAGAAAAATTTAAAAGGCCAGGCTAATGATATATTTCTTTTATTAATAAACGTGGGAACCTTAATTTAACATAATGTCAATAAACATGATTATGGTTCTTCCAAATTTGGGGTCCCTGGTGAGAGAAAAAGAATAAGATAGGGCTGGGTGTGGTGGTGCACGCCTGTAATCCCAGCACTTTGGGAGGCCAAGGCCAGCAGCTCACCTGAGGTTGGGAGTTCGAGACCAGCCTGACCAACATAGAGAATCCCCATCTCTAAAAATACAAAAAATTAGCCAGGCGTGGTGGCGCCCACCTGTAATCCCAGCTACTTGGGAGGCTGAGGCCAGAGAATTGCTTGAACCCGGGAGGCGGAGGTTGCGGTGAGCTGATATCACACCATTGCACTCCAGCCTGGGTAACAAGAGCGAAACTCCGTCTCTAATAATAATAATAATAAATAAAGGGCCTCAGGGTGAAGAATTTGGATACTGCTTGACTGGAGGCCACCTGGGGCCACTTCAGCTCTAGTTTCTGTGGTTTACGGCCACAGTGGTGTCTTCCCTGCAACGTTCTCGTGGGTGCCGTATTGACAAAACATTAAAACGAGATGGGGTCCCTGCGAGACTCCCGAGGGAGGGAGCAGGAAGATCCGTGCGGCACCGCGAAGGTACAGCATGTTCTCCACAACTCTCCCAGGCCACAAAGAAAGATGAGTCAGTGGGCTCTGAATTCTCCAGCACAGACAGGGGACGAGTCAAAGGGCTCCCAATCGGACTTGAAGAGATCACGCAGGAAGTCCTGACGTTCACGGCGAGCAGGGCTCTGTGTAGGCCAACATGCCAGCACTGTGAGGATAATATTTTTTAATCCCCCGTTTCCTTGAGCGGCCCCAGAAAACTTACACACACCCTGTTCTGCAGACTCCTGGGAGTGTAGGTCTCATTAAGGGCAGATAGAGACCAGACTGTGCAACCTTTAGAATCTGCATTGGGCCTAGGTCTCATTGAGGGCAGGTAGAGAGCCGACTGTGCAACCTTTAGAGTCTGCATTGGGCCAAGGTCTCATTGAGGTCAGATAGAGAGCACACTGTGCAACCTTTAGAGACTGCATTGAGCCTGGGTCTCATTGAGGACAGATAGAGAGCAGACTGTGCAACCTTTAGAGTCTGCATTGGGCCTACGTCTCATTGAGGGCAGATAGAGAACAGACGGTGCAACCTTTACAGTCTGCATTGGGCCTAGGTCTCATTGAGGGCAGGTAGAGAGCCGACTGTACAACCTTTAGAGTCTGCATTGGGCCTAGGTCTCATTGAGGGCAGATAGAGAGCAGACGGTGCAACCTTTAGAGTCTGCATTGGGCCTAGGTCTCATTGAGGACAGATAGAGAGCAGACTGTGCAACCTTTAGAGACTGCATTGAGCCTGAGTCTCATTGAGGACAGATAGAGAGCAGACTGTGCAACCATTAGAGTCTGCATTGGGCCTAGGTCTCATTGAGGGCACATAGAGAGCAGACTGTGCAACCTTTAGAGTCTGCATTGGGCCTAGGTCTCATTGAGGACAGATAGAGAGCAGACTGTGCAACCTTTAGAGTCTGCATTGGGTCTAGGGCCCACTGAGGGCAGACAGAGAGCAGACTGTGCAAACTTTAGAGTCAGCATTGGGCCTAGGTCTCATTGAAGACAGATAGAGAGCAGACTGTGCAACCTTTAGAGTCCGAATTGGGCCTCGGTCTCATTGAGGACCGATGGAGAGCAGACTGTGCAACCTTTAGAGTCTGCATTGGGCCTGGGTCTCACTGAGGACAAATAGAGAGCAGACTGTGCAACCTTTAGGGACTGCATTGGACCTAGGTCTCATTGAGGACAGATAGAGAGCAGACTAGGCAACCTTTAGAGTCGGCACTGGGCCTAGGTCTCATTGAGGACACATATAGAGCAGACTGTGCAACCTTTACAGTCTGCATTGGGCCTGGGTCTCATTGAGGACAGATAGAGACCAGACTGTGCAACCTTTAGAGTCTGCATTGGGCCTAGGTCTCATTGAGGGCAGATAGAGAGCAGACTGTGCAACCTTTAGAGTCTGCACTGGGCCTAGGTCTCATTGAGGACAGATAGAGAGCAGACTGTGCAACCTTTAGAGTCTGCATTGGGCCTAGGTCTCATTGAGAGCAGATAGAGAGCATACTGTGCAACCTTTAGAGTCGGCATTGGGCCTAGGTCTCATTGAGGACAGATAGAGACCAGACTGTGCAACCTTTAGAGTCTGCATTGGGCCTAGGTCTCATTGAGGACAGATAGAGAGCAGACTAGGCAACCATTAGAGTCGGCACTGGTCCTAGGTCTCATTGAGGACAGATATAGAGCAGACTGTGCAACCTTTAGAGTCTGCATTGTGCCTGGGTCTCATTGAGGACAGATAGAGAGCAGACTGTGCAACCTTTAGAGTCTGCACTGGGCCTAGGTCTCATTGAGGACAGATAGAGAGCAGACTGTGCAACCTCTAGAGTCTGCATTGGGCCTAGGTCTCATTGAGGGCATTTAGAGAGCAGACTGCGCAACCTTTAGAGTCTGCATTGGGCCTAGGTCTCATTGAGAGCAGATAGAGAGCACACTGTGCAACCACTAGAGTCGGCATTGGGCCTAGGTCTCATTGAGGACAGATAGAGACCAGACTGTGCAAACTTTAGAGTCTGCATTGGGCCTAGGTCTCATTGAGGACAGATAGAGGGCAGACTGTGCAACCTTTAGAGTCTGCATTGGGCCTAGGTCTCATTGTGGACCGATACAGAGCAGACTGTGCAACCTTTAGAGTCTGCACTGGGCCTAGGTCTCATTGAGGGCAGATAGAGAGCACACTGTGTAACCTTTAGAGTCTGCATAGGGCCTCGGTCTCATTGAGGACCGATAGAGAGCAGACTGTGCAATCTTTAGAGTCTGCATTGGGCCTGGGTCTCATTGAAGACAGATAGAGACCAGACTGTGCAACCTTTAGAGTTTGCATTGGACCTAGGTCTCATTGAGGGCAGATAGAGAGCAAACTGTGCAACCTTTAGAGTCTGCATTGGGCCTAGGTCTCATTGAGGACAGATAGAGAGCAGACTGTGCAACCTTTAGAGTCTGCACTGGGCCTAGGTCTCTTTGAGGACAGACAGAGAGCAGACTGTGCAAACTTTAGAGTCTGCACTGGGCCTAGGTGTCATTGAGGACAGAAAGAGACCAGACTGTGCAACCTTTAGAGTCTGCATTGGGCCTAGGTCTCCTTGAGGTCAGATAGACAGCAGACTGTGCAACCTTTAGAGTCTGCATTGGGCCTAGGTCTAATTGCGGACAGATAGAGAGCAGACTATGCAACGTTTAGAGTCTGCATTGGGCCTGGGTCTCATTCAGGACAGATAGAGAGCAGACTGTGCAACCTTTAGAGTCTCTATTGGGCCTAGGTCTCATTGAGGACAGATAGAGAGCGGACTGTGCAACCTTTAGAGTCTGCATTGGGCCTAGGTCTCATTGAGGGCAGATAGAGAGCAGGCTCGGCAACCCTTAGAGTCTGCATTGGGCCTAGATCTTATTGAGGACAGATAGAGAGCATACTATGCAACCTTTAGAGTCTGCATTGGGCCTAGGTCTCATTGAGGACACATAGAGAGCAGACTGTGCAACCTTTAGAGTCTGCATTGGGCCTATGTCTCATTGAGGACAGTTAGAGAGCAGACTGTGCAAGCTTTAGAGTCTGCATTTGGCCTAGGTCTCATTGAGGACAGAAACAGACCAGAGTGTGCAACCTTTAGAGTCAGCATTGGGCCTAGGTCTCATTGAGGACAGATAGAGAGCAGACTGTAGAAACTTTATAGTCTGCATTGGGCCTAGGTCTCATTGAGGTCAGATAGAGAGCAGACTGTGCAAGCTTTAGAGTCTGCACTTGGCCTAGGTCTCATTGAGGACAGATAGAGAGCAGACTGTGCAAACTCTAGAGTCTGCATTGGGCCTAGGTCTCATTGAGGGCAGATAGAGACCAGACTATGCAACGTTTAGAGTCTGCATTGGGCCTAGGTCTCATTGAGGGCAGTTAGAGAGCAGACTGTGCAACCTTTAGAGTCTGCATTGGGCCTAGGTCTCATTGAGAGCAGATAGAGAGCACACTGTGCCAACTTTAGAGTCGGCATTGGGCCTAGGTCTCATTGAGGACAGATAGAGACCGGACTGTGCAACCTTTAGAGTCTGCATTGGGCCTACGTCTCATTGAGGACAGATAGAGAGCAGACTAGGCAACCATTAGAGTCGGCACTGGTCCTAGGTCTCATTGAGGACAGATATAGAGCAGACTGTGCAACCTTTAGAGTCTGCATTGGGCCTGGGTCTCATTGAGGACAGATAGCGACCAGACTGTGCAACCTTTAGAGTCTGCATTGGGCTTAGGTCTCATTGAGGGCAGTTAGAGAGCAGACTGTGCAACCTTTAGAGTCTGCATTGGGCCTAGGTCTCATTGAGAGCAGATAGAGAGCACACTGTGCAACCTCTAGAGTCGGCATTGGGCCTAGGTCTCATTGAGGACAGATAGAGACCAGACTGTTGAAACTTTAGAGTCTGCATTGGGCCTAGGTCTCATTGAGGACAGATAGAGGGCAGACTGTGCAACCTTTAGAGTCTACAATGGGCCTAGGTATCAGTGAGGACAAATAGAGAGGAGACTGTGCAACCTTTAGAGTCTGCACTGGCCCTAGGTCTCTTTGAGGACAGACAGAGAGCAGAATGTGCAAACTTTAGAGTCTGCACTGGGCCTAGGTCTCATTGAGGACAGATAGAGACCAGACTGTGCAACCTTTAGAGTCTGCATTGGGCCTAGGTCTCCTTGAGGTCAGACAGACAGCAGACTCTGCAACCTTTAGAGTCTGCATTGGGCCTAGGTCTAATTGCGGACAGATAGACAGCAGACTGTGCAACGTTTAGAGTCTGCATTGGGCCTAGGTCTAATTGCGGACAGATAGAGAGCAGACTATGCAACGTTTAGAGTCTGCATTGGGCCTGGGTCTCATTGAGGACAGATAGAGAGCAGACTGTGCAACCTTTAGGGTCTCTATTGGGCCTAGGTCTCATTGAGGACAGATAGGGAGCGGACTGTGCAACCTTTAGAGTCTGCATTGGGCCTAGGTCTCATTGAGGGCAGATAGAGAGCAGGCTCGGCAACCCTTAGAGTCTGCATTGGGCCTAGATATCATTGAGGACAGATAGAGAGCATGCTATGCAACCTTTAGAGTCTGCACTGGGCCTAGGTCTCATTGAGGACACATAGAGAGCAGACTGTGCAACCTTTAGAGTCTGCATTGGGCCTATGTCTCATTGAGGACAGTTAGAGAGCAGACTGTGCAACCTTTAGAGTCTGCATTTGGCCTAGGTCTCATTGAGGACAGAAAGAGACCAGAGTGTGCAAACTTTAGAGTCTGCATTGGGCCTAGGTCTCATTGAGGACAGATAGAGAGCAGACTGTAGAACCTTTATAGTCTGCATTGGGCCTAGGTCTCATTGAGGTCAGATAGAGAGCAGACTGTGCAAGCTTTAGAGTCTGCACTTGTCCTAGGTCTCATTGAGGACAGATAGAGAACAGACTGTGCAACCTTTAGAGTCTGCATTGGGCCTAGGTCTCATTGAGGGCAGTTAGAGAGCAGACTGTGCAAACTTTAGAGTCTGCATTGGGCCTAGGTCTCATTGAGAGCAGATAGAGAGCACACTGTGCAAACTCTAGAGTCGGCATTGGGCCTAGGTCTCATTGAGGACAGATAGAGACCAGACTGTGCAAACTTTAGAGTCTGCATTGGGCCTAGGTCTCATTGAGGACAGATAGAGGGCAGACTGTGCAACCTTTAGAGTCTGCATTGGGCCTAGGTCTCATTGAGGACAGATAGAGAGCAGACTTTGCAAACTTTAGAGTCTGCACTGGGCCTAGGTCTCATTGAGGGCATATAGAGACCATACTGTGCAAACTTTAGAGTCTGCATTGGGTCTAGGTCTCACTGAGGAGAGATAGAGAGCAGACTTTGCAAACTTCAGAGTCTGCATTAGGTCTAGGTCTCACTGAGGACTGATAGAGAGCAGACTATGCAACTTTAGAGTCTGCCTGGCCCTAGGTCTCATTGAGGACAGATAGAGAGCAGACTGCGCAAACTTTAGAGTCTGCATTGGGCCTAGGTCTCACTGAGGACAGATAGAGAGCACACTGTGTAACCTTTAGAGTTTGCAAAGGGCCTCGGTCTCATTGAGGACCGATAGAGAGCAGACTGTGCAACCTTTAGAGTCTGCATTGGGCCTGGGTCTCATTGAGGAAAAACAGAGAGCAGACTGTGCAACCTTTAGAGTCTGCATTGGGCCTAGGTCTCATTGAGGGCAGATAGAGAGCAGACTGTGCAACCTTTAGAGTCTGCACTAGGGCTAGGTCTCATCGAGGACAGATAGAGAGCAGACTGTGCAACATTTAGAGTCTGCATTGGACCTAGGTCTCACTGAGGACAGATAGAGAGCAGACTATGCAAACTTTACAGTCTGCACTGGGCCTAGGTCTCATTGAGGACAGATAGAGAGCAGACTGTGCAACCTTTACAGTCTGCATTGGGCCTGGGTCTCATTCAGGAGAGATAGAGACCAGAATGTGCAACCTTTAGAGTTTGCATTGGGCCTAGGTCTCTTGAGAGCAGATAGAGAGCAGACTGTGCAACCTTTACAGTCTGCATTGGGCCTAGGTCTCATTGAGGGCCGATAGAGAGCAGACTGTGGAAACTTTAGAGTCTGCACTGGGCCTAGGTCTGATTGAGGACACATAGAGAGCAGACTGTGCAACCTTTAGAGTCTGCATTTGGCCTAGGTCTCATTGAGGACAGATGGAGAGCACACTGTGCAACCTTTAGAGTCCGCATTGGGCCTAGGTCTCATTGAGGACAGATAGAGACCAGACTGTGCAACCTTTAGAGTTTGCATTGGGCCTAGGTCTCATTGAGGGCAGATAGAGAGCAGACTGTGCAACCTTTAGAGTCTGCATTGGGCCTAGGTCTCATTGAGGACCGATAGAGAGCAGACTGTGCAACCTTTAGACTCTGCATTGGGCCTGGGTCTCATTGAGGACAAATAGAGAACAGACTGTGCAACCTTTAGAGTCTGCATTGGGCCTAGGTATCAGTGAGGACAGATAGAGAGGAGACTGTGCAACCTTTAGAGTCTGCACTGGGCCTAGGTCTCTTTGAGGACAGACAGAGAGCAGACTGTGCAAACTTTAGAGTCTGCACTGGGCCTAGGTGTCATTGAGGACAGATAGAGACCAGACTGTGCAACCTTTAGAGTCTGCATTGGGCCTAGGTCTCCTTGAGGTCAGATAGACAGCAGAATCTGCAACCTTTAGAGTCTGCATTGGGCCTAGGTCTAATTGCGGACAGATAGACAGCAGACTGTGCAACGTTTAGAGTCTGCATTGGGCCTAGGTCTAATTGCGGACAGATAGAGAGCAGACTATGCAACGTTTAGAGTCTGCATTGGGCCTGGGTCTCATTGAGGACAGATAGAGAGCAGACTGTGCAACCTTTAGAGTCTCTATTGGGCCTAGGTCTCATTGAGGACAGATAGGGAGAGGACTGTGCAACCTTTAGAGTCTGCATTGGGCCTAGGTCTCATTGAGGGCAGATAGAGAGCAGGCTCGGGAACCCTTAGAGTCTGCATTGGGCCTAGATCTCATTGAGGACAGATAGAGAGCATACTATGCAACCTTTAGAGTCTGCACTGGGCCTAGGTCTCATTGAGGACACATAGAGAGCAGACTGTGCAACCTTTAGAGTCTGCATTGGGCCTATGTCTCATTGAGGACAGTTAGAGAGCAGGCTGTGCAACCTTTACAGTCTGCATTTGGCCTAGGTCTCATTGAGGACAGAAAGAGACCAGAGTGCGCAAACTTTAGAGTCTGCATTGGGCCTAGGTCTCATTGAGGACAGATAGAGAGCAGACTGTAGAACCTTTATAGTCTGCATTGGGCCTAGGTCTCATTGAGGTCAGATAGAGAGCAGACTGTGCAAGCTTTAGAGTCTGCACTTGGCCTAGGTCTCATTGAGGACAGATAGAGAACAGACTGTGCAACCTTTAGAGTCTGCATTGGGCCTAGGTCTCATTGAGGGCAGTTAGAGAGCAGACTGTGCAACCTTTAGAGTCTGCATTGGGCCTAGGTCTCATTGAGAGCAGATAGAGAGCACACTGTGCAACCTCTAGAGTCGGCATTGGGCCTAGGTCTCATTGAGGACAGATAGAGACCAGACTGTGCAAACTTTAGAGTCTGCATTGGGCCTAGGTCTCATTGAGGACAGATAGAGGGCAGACTGTGCAACCTTTAGAGTCTGCATTGAGCCTAGGTCTCATTGAGGACAGATAGAGAGCAGACTGTGCAACCTTTCGAGTCTGCACTGGGCCTAGGTCTCATTGAGGGCATATAGAGACCATACTGTGCAAACTTTAGAGTCTGCATTGGGTCTAGGTCTCACTGAGGAGAGATAGAGAGCAGACTTTGCAAACTTTAGAGTCTGCATTAGGTCTAGGTCTCACTGAGGACTGATAGAGAGCAGACTATGCAACTTTAGAGTCTGCACTGGCCCTAGGTCTCATTGAGGACAGATAGAGAGCAGACTGCGCAAACTTTAGAGTCTGCATTGGGTCTAGGTCTCATTGAGGACAGATAGAGAGCACACTGTGTAACCTTTAGAGTCTGCATAGAGCCTCGGTCTCATTGAGGACCGATAGAGAGCAGACTGTGCAACCTTTAGAATCTGCATTGGGCCTAGGTCTCATTGAGGGCAGGTAGAGAGCCGACTGTGCAACCTTTAGAGTCTGCATTGGGCCAAGGTCTCATTGAGGTCAGATAGAGAGCACACTGTGCAACCTTTAGAGACTGCATTGAGCCTGGGTCTCATTGAGGACAGATAGAGAGCAGACTGTGCAACCTTTAGAGTCTGCATTGGGCCTAGGTCTCATTGAGGGCACATAGAGAGCAGACTGCACAACCTTTAGAGTCTGCATTGGGCCTACGTCTCATTGAGGGCAGATAGAGAACAGACGGTGCAACCTTTACAGTCTGCATTGGGCCTAGGTCTCAATGAGGGCAGGTAGAGAGCCGACTGTACAACCTTTAGAGTCTGCATTGGGCCTAGGTCTCATTGAGGGCAGATAGAGAGCAGACGGTGCAACCTTTAGAGTCTGCATTGGGCCTAGGTCTCATTGAGGACAGATAGAGAGCAGACTGTGCAACCTTTAGAGACTGCATTGAGCCTGAGTCTCATTGAGGACAGATAGAGAGCAGACTGTGCAACCATTAGAGTCTGCATTGGGCCTAGGTCTCATTGAGGGCACATAGAGAGCAGACTGTGCAACCTTTAGAGTCTGCATTGGGCCTAGGTCTCATTGAGGACAGATAGAGAGCAGACTGTGCAACCTTTAGAGTCTGCATTGGGTCTAGGGCTCATTGAGGGCAGACAGAGAGCAGACTGTGCAAACTTTAGAGTCTGCATTGGGCCTAGGTCTCATTGAAGACAGATAGAGAGCAGACTGTGCAACCTTTAGAGTCCGAATTGGGCCTCGGTCTCATTGAGGACCGATGGAGAGCAGACTGTGCAACCTTTAGAGTCTGCATTGGGCCTGGGTCTCACTGAGGACAAATAGAGAGCAGACTGTGCAACCTTTAGGGACTGCATTGGACCTAGGTCTCATTGAGGACAGATAGAGAGCAGACTAGGCAACCTTTAGAGTCGGCACTGGGCCTAGGTCTCATTGAGGACACATATAGAGCAGACTGTGCAACCTTTACAGTCTGCATTGGGCCTGGGTCTCATTGAGGACAGATAGAGACCAGACTGTGCAACCTTTAGAGTCTGCATTGGGCCTAGGTCTCATTGAGGGCAGATAGAGAGCAGACTGTGCAACCTTTAGAGTCTGCACTGGGCCTAGGTCTCATTGAGGACAGATAGAGAGCAGACTGTGCAACCTTTAGAGTCTGCATTGGGCCTAGGTCTCATTGAGAGCAGATAGAGAGCATACTGTGCAACCTTTAGAGTCGGCATTGGGCCTAGGTCTCATTGAGGACAGATAGAGACCAGACTGTGCAACCTTTAGAGTCTGCATTGGGCCTAGGTCTCATTGAGGACAGATAGAGAGCAGACTAGGCAACCATTAGAGTCGGCACTGGTCCTAGGTCTCATTGAGGACAGATATAGAGCAGACTGTGCAACCTTTAGAGTCTGCATTGTGCCTGGGTCTCATTGAGGACAGATAGAGAGCAGACTGTGCAACCTTTAGAGTCTGCACTGGGCCTAGGTCTCATTGAGGACAGATAGAGAGCAGACTGTGCAACCTCTAGAGTCTGCATTGGGCCTAGGTCTCATTGAGGGCATTTAGAGAGCAGACTGCGCAACCTTTAGAGTCTGCATTGGGCCTAGGTCTCATTGAGAGCAGATAGAGAGCACACTGTGCAACCTCTAGAGTCGGCATTGGGCCTAGGTCTCATTGAGGACAGATAGAGACCAGACTGTGCAAACTTTAGAGTCTGCATTGGGCCTAGGTCTCATTGAGGACAGATAGAGGGCAGACTGTGCAACCTTTAGAGTCTGCATTGGGCCTAGGTCTCATTATGGACCGATACAGAGCAGACTGTGCAACCTTTAGAGTCTGCACTGGGCCTAGGTCTCATTGAGAGCAGATAGAGAGCACACTGTGCAAACTTTAGAGTCGGCATTGGGCCTAGGTCTCATTGAGGACAGATAGAGACCGGACTGTGCAACCTTTAGAGTCTGCATTGGGCCTACGTCTCATTGAGGACAGATAGAGAGCAGACTAGGCAACCATTAGAGTCGGCACTGGTCCTAGGTCTCATTGAGGACAGATATAGAGCAGACTGTGCAACCTTTAGAGTCTGCATTGGGCCTGGGTCTCATTGAGGACAGATAGCGACCAGACTGTGCAACCTTTAGAGTCTGCATTGGGCTTAGGTCTCATTGAGGGCAGTTAGAGAGCAGACTGTGCAACCTTTAGAGTCTGCATTGGGCCTAGGTCTCATTGAGAGCAGATAGAGAGCACACTGTGCAACCTCTAGAGTCGGCATTGGGCCTAGGTCTCATTGAGGACAGATAGAGACCAGACTGTTGAAACTTTAGAGTCTGCATTGGGCCTAGGTCTCATTGATGACAGATAGAGGGCAGACTGTGCAACCTTTAGAGTCTACAATGGGCCTAGGTATCAGTGAGGACAAATAGAGAGGAGACTGTGCAACCTTTAGAGTCTGCACTGGCCCTAGGTCTCTTTGAGGACAGACAGAGAGCAGAATGTGCAAACTTTAGAGTCTGCACTGGGCCTAGGTGTCATTGAGGACAGATAGAGACCAGACTGTGCAACCTTTAGAGTCTGCATTGGGCCTAGGTCTCCTTGAGGTCAGACAGACAGCAGACTCTGCAACCTTTAGAGTCTGCATTGGGCCTAGGTCTAATTGCGGACAGATAGACAGCAGACTGTGCAACGTTTAGAGTCTGCATTGGGCCTAGGTCTAATTGCGGACAGATAGAGAGCAGACTATGCAACGTTTAGAGTCTGCATTGGGCCTGGGTCTCATTGAGGACAGATAGAGAGCAGACTGTGCAACCTTTAGGGTCTCTATTGGGCCTAGGTCTCATTGAGGACAGATAGGGAGCGGACTGTGCAACCTTTAGAGTCTGCATTGGGCCTAGGTCTCATTGAGGGCAGATAGAGAGCAGGCTCGGCAACCCTTAGAGTCTGCATTGGGCCTAGATATCATTGAGGACAGATAGAGAGCATGCTATGCAACCTTTAGAGTCTGCACTGGGCCTAGGTCTCATTGAGGACACATAGAGAGCAGACTGTGCAACCTTTAGAGTCTGCATTGGGCCTATGTCTCATTGAGGACAGTTAGAGAGCAGACTGTGCAACCTTTAGAGTCTGCATTTGGCCTAGGTCTCATTGAGGACAGAAAGAGACCAGAGTGTGCAAACTTTAGAGTCTGCATTGGGCCTAGGTCTCATTGAGGACAGATAGAGAGCAGACTGTAGAACCTTTATAGTCTGCATTGGGCCTAGGTCTCATTGAGGTCAGATAGAGAGCAGACTGTGCAAGCTTTAGAGTCTGCACTTGTCCTAGGTCTCATTGAGGACAGATAGAGAACAGACTGTGCAACCTTTAGAGTCTGCATTGGGCCTAGGTCTCATTGAGGGCAGTTAGAGAGCAGACTGTGCAAACTTTAGAGTCTGCATTGGGCCTAGGTCTCATTGAGAGCAGATAGAGAGCACACTGTGCAAACTCTAGAGTCGGCATTGGGCCTAGGTCTCATTGAGGACAGATAGAGACCAGACTGTGCAAACTTTAGAGTCTGCATTGGGCCTAGGTCTCATTGAGGACAGATAGAGGGCAGACTGTGCAACCTTTAGAGTCTGCATTGGGCCTAGGTCTCATTGAGGACAGATAGAGAGCAGACTTTGCAAACTTTAGAGTCTGCACTGGGCCTAGGTCTCATTGAGGGCATATAGAGACCATACTGTGCAAACTTTAGAGTCTGCATTGGGTCTAGGTCTCACTGAGGAGAGATAGAGAGCAGACTTTGCAAACTTCAGAGTCTGCATTAGGTCTAGGTCTCACTGAGGACTGATAGAGAGCAGACTATGCAACTTTAGAGTCTGCCTGGCCCTAGGTCTCATTGAGGACAGATAGAGAGCAGACTGCGCAAACTTTAGAGTCTGCATTGGGCCTAGGTCTCACTGAGGACAGATAGAGAGCACACTGTGTAACCTTTAGAGTTTGCATAGGGCCTCGGTCTCATTGAGGACCGATAGAGAGCAGACTGTGCAACCTTTAGAGTCTGCATTGGGCCTGGGTCTCATTGAGGAAAAATGGAGAGCCGACTGTGCAACCTTTAGAGTCTGCATTGGGCCTAGGTCTCATTGAGGGCAGATAGAGAGCAGACTGTGCAACCTTTAGAGTCTGCACTAGGGCTAGGTCTCATCGAGGACAGATAGAGAGCAGACTGTGCAACATTTAGAGTCTGCATTGGACCTAGGTCTCACTGAGGACAGATAGAGAGCAGACTATGCAAACTTTACAGTCTGCACTGGGCCTAGGTCTCATTGAGGACAGATAGAGAGCAGACTGTGCAACCTTTACAGTCTGCATTGGGCCTGGGTCTCATTCAGGAGAGATAGAGACCAGAATGTGCAACCTTTAGAGTTTGCATTGGGCCTAGGTCTCTTGAGAGCAGATAGAGAGCAGACTGTGCAACCTTTACAGTCTGCATTGGGCCTAGGTCTCATTGAGGGCCGATAGAGAGCAGACTGTGCAAACTTTAGAGTCTGCACTGGGCCTAGGTCTGATTGAGGACACATAGAGAGCAGACTGTGCAACCTTTAGAGTCTGCATTTGGCCTAGGTCTCATTGAGGACAGATGGAGAGCACACTGTGCAACCTTTAGAGTCCGCATTGGGCCTAGGTCTCATTGAGGACAGATAGAGACCAGACTGTGCAACCTTTAGAGTTTGCATTGGGCCTAGGTCTCATTGAGGGCAGATAGAGAGCAGACTGTGCAACCTTTAGAGTCTGCATTGGGCCTAGGTCTCATTGAGGACCGATAGAGAGCAGACTGTGCAACCTTTAGACTCTGCATTGGGCCTGGGTCTCATTGAGGACAAATAGAGAACAGACTGTGCAACCTTTAGAGTCTGCATTGGGCCTAGGTATCAGTGAGGACAGATAGAGAGGAGACTGTGCAACCTTTAGAGTCTGCACTGGGCCTAGGTCTCTTTGAGGACAGACAGAGAGCAGACTGTGCAAACTTTAGAGTCTGCACTGGGCCTAGGTGTCATTGAGGACAGATAGAGACCAGACTGTGCAACCTTTAGAGTCTGCATTGGGCCTAGGTCTCCTTGAGGTCAGATAGACAGCAGAATCTGCAACCTTTAGAGTCTGCATTGGGCCTAGGTCTAATTGCGGACAGATAGACAGCAGACTGTGCAACGTTTAGAGTCTGCATTGGGCCTAGGTCTAATTGCGGACAGATAGAGAGCAGACTATGCAACGTTTAGAGTCTGCATTGGGCCTGGGTCTCATTGAGGACAGATAGAGAGCAGACTGTGCAACCTTTAGAGTCTCTATTGGGCCTAGGTCTCATTGAGGACAGATAGGGAGAGGACTGTGCAACCTTTAGAGTCTGCATTGGGCCTAGGTCTCATTGAGGGCAGATAGAGAGCAGGCTCGGGAACCCTTAGAGTCTGCATTGGGCCTAGATCTCATTGAGGACAGATAGAGAGCATACTATGCAACCTTTAGAGTCTGCACTGGGCCTAGGTCTCATTGAGGACACATAGAGAGCAGACTGTGCAACCTTTAGAGTCTGCATTGGGCCTATGTCTCATTGAGGACAGTTAGAGAGCAGGCTGTGCAACCTTTACAGTCTGCATTTGGCCTAGGTCTCATTGAGGACAGAAAGAGACCAGAGTGCGCAAACTTTAGAGTCTGCATTGGGCCTAGGTCTCATTGAGGACAGATAGAGAGCAGACTGTAGAACCTTTATAGTCTGCATTGGGCCTAGGTCTCTTTGAGGTCAGATAGAGAGCAGACTGTGCAAGCTTTAGAGTCTGCACTTGGCCTAGGTCTCATTGAGGACAGATAGAGAACAGACTGTGCAACCTTTAGAGTCTGCATTGGGCCTAGGTCTCATTGAGGGCAGTTAGAGAGCAGACTGTGCAACCTTTAGAGTCTGCATTGGGCCTAGGTCTCATTGAGAGCAGATAGAGAGCACACTGTGCAACCTCTAGAGTCGGCATTGGGCCTAGGTCTCATTGAGGACAGATAGAGACCAGACTGTGCAAACTTTAGAGTCTGCATTGGGCCTAGGTCTCATTGAGGACAGATAGAGGGCAGACTGTGCAACCTTTAGAGTCTGCATTGAGCCTAGGTCTCATTGAGGACAGATAGAGAGCAGACTGTGCAACCTTTCGAGTCTGCACTGGGCCTAGGTCTCATTGAGGGCATATAGAGACCATACTGTGCAAACTTTAGAGTCTGCATTGGGTCTAGGTCTCACTGAGGAGAGATAGAGAGCAGACTTTGCAAACTTTAGAGTCTGCATTAGGTCTAGGTCTCACTGAGGACTGATAGAGAGCAGACTATGCAACTTTAGAGTCTGCACTGGCCCTAGGTCTCATTGAGGACAGATAGAGAGCAGACTGCGCAAACTTTAGAGTCTGCATTGGGTCTGGGTCTCATTGAGGACAGATAGAGAGCACACTGTGTAACCTTTAGAGTCTGCATAGAGCCTCGGTCTCATTGAGGACCGATAGAGAGCAGACTGTGCAACCTTTAGAATCTGCATTGGGCCTAGGTCTCATTGAGGGCAGGTAGAGAGCCGACTGTGCAACCTTTAGAGTCTGCATTGGGCCAAGGTCTCATTGAGGTCAGATAGAGAGCACACTGTGCAACCTTTAGAGACTGCATTGAGCCTGGGTCTCATTGAGGACAGATAGAGAGCAGACTGTGCAACCTTTAGAGTCTGCATTGGGCCTAGGTCTCATTGAGGGCACATAGAGAGCAGACTGCACAACCTTTAGAGTCTGCATTGGGCCTACGTCTCATTGAGGGCAGATAGAGAACAGACGGTGCAACCTTTACAGTCTGCATTGGGCCTAGGTCTCAATGAGGGCAGGTAGAGAGCCGACTGTACAACCTTTAGAGTCTGCATTGGGCCTAGGTCTCATTGAGGGCAGATAGAGAGCAGACGGTGCAACCTTTAGAGTCTGCATTGGGCCTAGGTCTCATTGAGGACAGATAGAGAGCAGACTGTGCAACCTTTAGAGACTGCATTGAGCCTGAGTCTCATTGAGGACAGATAGAGAGCAGACTGTGCAACCATTAGAGTCTGCATTGGGCCTAGGTCTCATTGAGGGCAGTTAGAGAGCAGACTGTGCAACCTTTAGAGTCTGCATTGGGCCTAGGTCTCATTGAGGACAGATAGAGAGCAGACTGTGCAACCTTTAGAGTCTGCATTGGGTCTAGGGCTCATTGAGGGCAGACAGAGAGCAGACTGTGCAAACTTTAGAGTCTGCATTGGGCCTAGGTCTCATTGAAGACAGATAGAGAGCAGACTGTGCAACCTTTAGAGTCCGAATTGGGCCTCGGTCTCATTGAGGACCGATGGAGAGCAGACTGTGCAACCTTTAGAGTCTGCATTGGGCCTGGGTCTCACTGAGGACAAATAGAGAGCAGACTGTGCAACCTTTAGGGACTGCATTGGACCTAGGTCTCATTGAGGACAGATAGAGAGCAGACTAGGCAACCTTTAGAGTCGGCACTGGGCCTAGGTCTCATTGAGGACACATATAGAGCAGACTGTGCAACCTTTACAGTCTGCATTGGGCCTGGGTCTCATTGAGGACAGATAGAGACCAGACTGTGCAAACTTTAGAGTCTGCATTGGGCCTAGGTCTCATTGAGGGCAGATAGAGAGCAGACTGTGCAACCTTTAGAGTCTGCACTGGGCCTAGGTCTCATTGAGGACAGATAGAGAGCAGACTGTGCAACCTTTAGAGTCTGCATTGGGCCTAGGTCTCATTGAGAGCAGATAGAGAGCATACTGTGCAACCTTTAGAGTCGGCATTGGGCCTAGGTCTCATTCAGGACAGATAGAGAGCAGACTAGGCAACCATTAGAGTCGGCACTGGTCCTAGGTCTCATTGAGGACAGATATAGAGCAGACTGTGCAACCTTTAGAGTCTGCATTGTGCCTGGGTCTCATTGAGGACAGATAGAGAGCAGACTGAGCAACCTTTAGAGTCTGCACTGGGCCTAGGTCTCATTGAGGACAGATAGAGAGCAGACTGTGCAACCTCTAGAGTCTGCATTGGGCCTAGGTCTCATTGAGGGCATTTAGAGAGCAGACTGCGCAACCTTTAGAGTCTGCATTGGGCATAGGTCTCATTGAGAGCAGATAGAGAGCACACTGTGCAACCTCTAGAGTCGGCATTGGGCCTAGGTCTCATTGAGGACAGATAGAGACCAGACTGTGCAAACTTTAGAGTTTGCATTGGACCTAGGTCTCATTGAGGGCAGATAGAGAGCAAACTGTGCAACCTTTAGAGTCTGCATTGGGCCTAGGTCTCATTGAGGACAGATAGAGAGCAGACTGTGCAACCTTTAGAGTCTGCACTGGGCCTAGGTCTCTTTGAGGACAGACAGAGAGCAGACTGTGCAAACTTTAGAGTCTGCACTGGGCCTAGGTGTCATTGAGGACAGAAAGAGACCAGACTGTGCAACCTTTAGAGTCTGCATTGGGCCTAGGTCTCCTTGAGGTCAGATAGACAGCAGACTGTGCAACCTTTAGAGTCTGCATTGGGCCTAGGTCTAATTGCGGACAGATAGAGAGCAGACTATGCAACGTTTAGAGTCTGCATTGGGCCTGGGTCTCATTCAGGACAGATAGAGAGCAGACTGTGCAACCTTTAGAGTCTCTATTGGGCCTAGGTCTCATTGAGGACAGATAGAGAGCGGACTGTGCAACCTTTAGAGTCTGCATTGGGCCTAGGTCTCATTGAGGGCAGATAGAGAGCAGGCTCGGCAACCCTTAGAGTCTGCATTGGGCCTAGATCTTATTGAGGACAGATAGAGAGCATACTATGCAACCTTTAGAGTCTGCATTGGGCCTAGGTCTCATTGAGGACACATAGAGAGCAGACTGTGCAACCTTTAGAGTCTGCATTGGGCCTATGTCTCATTGAGGACAGTTAGAGAGCAGACTGTGCAACCTTTAGAGTCTGCATTTGGCCTAGGTCTCATTGAGGACAGAAACAGACCAGAGTGTGCAACCTTTAGAGTCAGCATTGGGCCTAGGTCTCATTGAGGACAGATAGAGAGCAGACTGTAGAAACTTTATAGTCTGCATTGGGCCTAGGTCTCATTGAGGTCAGATAGAGAGCAGACGGTGCAAGCTTTAGAGTCTGCACTTGGCCTAGGTCTCATTGAGGACAGATAGAGAGCAGACTGTGCAAACTCTAGAGTCTGCATTGGGCCTAGGTCTCATTGAGGGCAGATAGAGACCAGACTATGCAACGTTTAGAGTCTGCATTGGGCCTAGGTCTCATTGAGGGCAGTTAGAGAGCAGACTGTGCAACCTTTAGAGTCTGCATTGGGCCTAGGTCTCATTGAGAGCAGATAGAGAGCACACTGTGCAAACTTTAGAGTCGGCATTGGGCCTAGGTCTCATTGAGGACAGATAGAGACCGGACTGTGCAACCTTTAGAGTCTGCATTGGGCCTACGTCTCATTGAGGACAGATAGAGAGCAGACTAGGCAACCATTAGAGTCGGCACTGGTCCTAGGTCTCATTGAGGACAGATATAGAGCAGACTGTGCAACCTTTAGAGTCTGCATTGGGCCTGGGTCTCATTGAGGACAGATAGCGACCAGACTGTGCAACCTTTAGAGTCTGCATTGGGCTTAGGTCTCATTGAGGGCAGTTAGAGAGCAGACTGTGCAACCTTTAGAGTCTGCATTGGGCCTAGGTCTCATTGAGAGCAGATAGAGAGCACACTGTGCAACCTCTAGAGTCGGCATTGGGCCTAGGTCTCATTGAGGACAGATAGAGACCAGACTGTTGAAACTTTAGAGTCTGCATTGGGCCTAGGTCTCATTGAGGACAGATAGAGGGCAGACTGTGCAACCTTTAGAGTCTACAATGGGCCTAGGTATCAGTGAGGACAAATAGAGAGGAGACTGTGCAACCTTTAGAGTCTGCACTGGCCCTAGGTCTCTTTGAGGACAGACAGAGAGCAGAATGTGCAAACTTTAGAGTCTGCACTGGGCCTAGGTGTCATTGAGGACAGATAGAGACCAGACTGTGCAACCTTTAGAGTCTGCATTGGGCCTAGGTCTCCTTGAGGTCAGACAGACAGCAGACTCTGCAACCTTTAGAGTCTGCATTGGGCCTAGGTCTAATTGCGGACAGATAGACAGCAGACTGTGCAACGTTTAGAGTCTGCATTGGGCCTAGGTCTAATTGCGGACAGATAGAGAGCAGACTATGCAACGTTTAGAGTCTGCATTGGGCCTGGGTCTCATTGAGGACAGATAGAGAGCAGACTGTGCAACCTTTAGGGTCTCTATTGGGCCTAGGTCTCATTGAGGACAGATAGGGAGCGGACTGTGCAACCTTTAGAGTCTGCATTGGGCCTAGGTCTCATTGAGGGCAGATAGAGAGCAGGCTCGGCAACCCTTAGAGTCTGCATTGGGCCTAGATATCATTGAGGACAGATAGAGAGCATGCTATGCAACCTTTAGAGTCTGCACTGGGCCTAGGTCTCATTGAGGACACATAGAGAGCAGACTGTGCAACCTTTAGAGTCTGCATTGGGCCTATGTCTCATTGAGGACAGTTAGAGAGCAGACTGTGCAACCTTTAGAGTCTGCATTTGGCCTAGGTCTCATTGAGGACAGAAAGAGACCAGAGTGTGCAAACTTTAGAGTCTGCATTGGGCCTAGGTCTCATTGAGGACAGATA
>NC_000024.10:94821-133871 GCF_000001405.40 Homo sapiens
CCCTCTTCCTGTCACGGCCCGAGACTCCCTCTTCCTGTCACGGCCCGAGATCCCCTCTTCCTGTCACGGCCCGAGACTCCCTCTTCCTATCACGGCCCGAGACTCCCTCTTCCTGTCACGGCCCGAGACTCCCTCTTCCTGTCACGGCCCGAGACCCCCTCTTCCTGTCACGGCCCGAGACCCCCTCTTCCTGTCACGGCCCGAGACCCCCTCTTCCTGTCACGGCCCGAGACCCCCTCTTCCTGTCACGGCCCGAGACCCCCTCTTCCTGTCACGGCCCGAGACCCCCTCTTCCAGTCACGGCCCGAGACTCCCTCTTCCTGTCACGGCCCGAGACTCCCTCTTCCTGTCACGGCCCGAGACTCCCTCTTCCTGTCACGGCCCGAGATCCCCTCTTCCTGTCACGGCCTGAGTTGTTTTTCAGGTTTCTTTGGGATCCCCTTGGCTACAAACAGGTCCACTCAGTCAGCTGAGGGGCTTAGAATTCTATTTTTGGTTTACCCCACTATCAGGAGGTTGTCTGAGATAAGCCAGCCCCTCCCACCCTTGCAGGCACAGTGTGCAAGCATAAGATCTCGTGCTGGCCGCCATTCAGGTGGCAGCCACAGGGATGGTCCAGACGTGGCTCTCCAACCGTCCTTAGACCACACAAAGTTTAGGATTTCTGGGGTCCCAATGCAGACTCTAAAGGTTGCATAGTCTGGTCTCTATCTGCCCTCAATGAGACCTAGGCCCAGTGCAGACTCTAAAGGTTGCATACTCTGGTCCCTATCTGCCCTCAATGAGACCTAGGCCCAGTGCAGACTCGAAAGGTTGCACAGTCTGCTCTCTATCTGTCCTCAATGAGACTTAGGCACAATGCAGACTCTAAACGTTGCACAGTCTGCTCTCTATCTGCCCTCAATGAGACCTAGGCCCAATGCATACTCTAAAGGTTGCACAGTCTGCTCTCTATCTGCCCTCAATGAGACCTAGGCCCAATGCAGACTCTAAAGGTTGCATAGTCTGGTCTCTATCTGCCCTCAATGAGACCTAGGACCAATGAAGACTCTAAAGGTTGCGCAGTCTGCTCTCTATCTGTCCTCAATGAGACCTAGGCCCAGTGCAGACTATAAAGGTTGCACAGTCTGGTCTCTATCTGTCCTCAATGAGACCTAGGCCCAATGCAGACTCTAAAGGTTGCACAGTCTGCTCTCTATCTGTCCTCAATGAGACCTAGGCCAAGTGCAGACTCTAAAGCTTGCACAGTCTGCTCTCTATCTGACCTCAATGAGACCTAGGCCCAATGCAGACTATAAAGGTTCTACAGTCTGCTCTCTATCTGTCCTCAATGAGACCTAGGCCCAATGCAGACTCTAAAGGTTGCACACTCTGGTCTCTATCTGTCCTCAATGAGACCTAGGCCCAGTGCAGACTGTAAAGTTTGCATAGTCTGCTTTCTATCTGTCCTCAATGAGACCTAGGTCCAATGCAGACTCTAAAGGTTGCACAGTCTGCTCTCTATCTGTCCTCGATGAGACCTAGGCCTAGTGCAGACTCTAAAGGTTGCACAGTCTGCTCTCTATCTGCCCTCAATGAGACCTAGGCCCAATGCAGACTCTAAAGGTTGCACAGTCTGCTCTCTATCTGTCCTCAATGAGACCTAGGCCCAATGCAGACTCTAAAGGTTGCACAGTCTGCTCTCTATTTGTCCTCAATGAGACCCAGGCCCAATGCAGACTCTAAAGGTTGCACAGTCTGCTCTCTATCGGTCCTCAATGAGACCGAGGCCCTATGCAGACTCTAAAGGTTACACAGTGTGCTCTCTATCTGTCCTCAGTGAGACCTAGGCCCAATGCAGACTCTAAAGTTTGCGCAGTCTGCTCTCTATCTGTCCTCAATGAGACCTAGGACCAATGCAGACTCTAAAGGTTGCACAGTCTGCCCTCTATCTGTCCTCAATGAGACCTAGGCCCAATGCAGACTCTAAAGTTTTAACAGTCTGGTCTCTATCTGTCCTCAATGAGACCTAGGCCCAATGCCGACTCTAGAGGTTGCACAGTGTGCTCTCTATCTGCTCTCAATGAGACCTAGACCCAATGCAGACTCTAAAGGTTGCACAGTCTGCTCTCTAACTGCCCTCAATGAGACCTAAGCCCAAAGCAGACTCTAAAGGTTGCACAGTCTGGTCGCTATCTGTCCTCAATGAGACCCAGACCCAATGCAGACTCTAAAGGTTGCACAGTCTGCTCTATATCTGTCCTCAATGAGACCTAGGAAAAGTGCCGACTCTAATGGTTGCCTAGTCTGCTCTTTATCTGTCCTCAATGAGACCTAGGCCCAATGCAGACTCTAAAGGTTGCACAGTCCGGTCTCTATCTGTCCTCAATGAGACCTAGGCCCAATGCCGACTCTAAAGTTTGCACAGTGTGCTCTCTATCTGCTCTCAATGAGACCTAGGCCCAATGCAGACTCTAAAGGTAGCACAGTCTGCTCTCTAACTGCCCTCAATGACACCTAGGCCCAATGCAGACTCTAAACGTTGCATAGTCTGGTCTCTATCTGCCCTCAATGAGACCTAGGCCCAATGCAGACTCTAAAGGTTGCACAGTCTGCTCTCTATCTGTCCTCAATGAGACCTAGGCCAAGTGCAGACTCTAAAGCTTGCACAGTCTGCTCTCTATCTGACCTCAATGAGACCTAGGCCCAATGCAGACTATAAAGGTTCTACAGTCTGCTCTCTATCTGTCCTCAATGAGACCTAGGCCCAATGCAGACTCTAAAGGTTGCACACTCTGGTCTCTTTCTGTCCTCAATGAGACCTAGGCCAAATGCAGACTCTAAAGGTTGCACAGTCTGCTCTCTAACTGTCCTCAATGAGACATAGGCCCAATGCAGACTCTAAAGGTTGCACAGTCTGCTCTCTATGTGTCCTCAATGAGACCTAGGCCCAGTGCAGACTCTAAAGGTTGCATAGTATGCTCTCTATCTGTCCTCAATGAGATCTAAGCCCAATGCAGACTCTAAGGGTTGCCGAGCCTGCTCTCTATCTGCCCTCAATGAGACCTAGGCCCAATGCAGACTCTAAAGGTTGCACAGTCCGCTCTCTATCTGTCCTCAATGAGACCTAGGCCCAATAGAGACTCTAAAGGTTGCACAGTCTGCACTCTATCTGTCCTCAATGAGACCCAGGCCCAATGCAGACTCTAAACGTTGCATAGTCTGCTCTCTGTCTGTCCGCAATTAGACCTAGGCCCAATGCAGACTCTAAAGGTTGCACAGTCTGCTGTCTATCTGACCTCAAGGAGACTTAGGCCCAATGCAGACTCTAAAGGTTGCACAGTCTGGTCTCTATCTGTCCTCAATGACACCTAGGCCCAGTGCAGACTCTAAAGTTTGCACAGTCTGCTCTCTGTCTGTCCTCAAAGAGACCTAGGCACAGTGCAGACTCTAAAGGTTGCACAGTCTGCTCTCTATCTGTCCTCAATGAGACCTAGGCCCAGTGCAGACTCTAAAGGTTGCACAGTCTGCTCTCTATCTGCCCTCAATGAGACCTAGGCCCAATGCAGACTCTAAAGTTGCACAGTCTGGTCTCTATCTGTCCTCAATGAGACCTAGGCCCAATGCGGACTCTAAAGGTTGCACAGTGTGCTCTCCATCTGTCCTCAATGAGACCTAGGCCCAATGCAGACTCTAAAGGTTGCACAGTCTGCTCTCTATCTCTCCTCAATGAGACCTAGGCCCAATGCAGACTCTAAAGTTTGCACAGTCTGCTCTCTATCTGCCCTCAATGAGACCTAGGCCCAATGCAGACTCTAAAGGTTGCACAGTCTGCTCTCTATCTGCTCTCAATGAGACCTAGGCCCAATGCAGACTCTAAAGGTTGCACAGTCTGGTCTCTATCTGTCCTGAATGAGGCCCAGATCCAATGCAGACTGTAAAGGTTGCACAGTCTGCTCTCTATCTGTCCTCAATGAGACCTAGGCTCAGTGCAGCCTCTAAAGTTTGCATAGTCTGCTCTCTATCTGTCCTCAATGAGACCTAGGTCCAATGCAGACTCTAAAGGTTGCACAGTCTGCTCTCTATCTGTCCTCAATGAGACCTAGGCCTAGTGCAGACTCTAAAGGTTGCACAGTCTGTTCTCTATCTGTCCTCAATGAGACCTAGGCCAAGTGCAGACTCTAAAGCTTGCACAGTCTGTTCTCTATCTGACCTCAATGAGACCTAGGCCCAATGCAGACTATAAAGTTTCTACAGTCTGCTCTCTATCTGTCCTCAATGAGACCTAGGCCCAATGCAGACTCTAAAGGTTGAACACTCTGGTCTCTATCTGCCCTCAATGAGACCTAGGCCCAATGAAGACTCTAAAGGTTGCGCAGTCTGCTCTCTATCTCTCCTCAATGAGACCTAGGCCCAGTGCAGACTATAAAGGTTGCACAGTCTGGTCTCTATCTGTCCTCAATGAGACCTAGGCCCAATGCAGACTCTAAAGGTTGCACAGTCTGCTCTCTATCTGTCCTCAATGAGACCTAGGCCAAGTGCAGACTCTAAAGCTTGCACAGTCTGCTCTCTATCTGACCTCAATGAGACCTAGGCCCAATGCAGACTATAAAGGTTCTACAGTCTGCTCTCTGTCTGTCCTCAATGAGACCTAGGCCCAATGCAGACTCTAAAGGTTGCACACTCTGGTCTCTATCTGTCCTCAATGAGACCTAGGCCCAGTGCAGACTGTAAAGTTTGCATAGTCTGCTCTCTATCTGTCCTCAATGAGACCTAGGTCCAATGCAGACTCTAAAGGTTGCACAGTCTGCTCTCTATCTGTCCTCGATGAGACCTAGGCCCAGTGCAGACTCTAAAGGTTGCACAGTCTGCTCTCTATCTGCCCTCAATGAGACCTAGGCCCAATGCAGACTCTAAAGGTTGCACAGTCTGCTCTCTATCTGTCCTCAATGAGACCTAGGCCCAATGCAGACTCTAAAGGTTGCACAGTCTGCTCTCTATTTGTCCTCAATGAGACCCAGGCCCAATGCAGACTCTAAAGGTGGCACAGTCTGCTCTCTATCGGTCCTCAATGAGACCGAGGCCCTATGCAGACTCTAAAGGTTACACAGTGTGCTCTCTATCTGTCCTCAGTGAGACCTAGGCCCAATGCAGACTCTAAAGTTTGCGCAGTCTGCTCTCTATGTGTCCTCAATGAGACCTAGGGCCAGTGCAGACTCTAAAGGTTGCATAGTCTGCTCTCTATCAGTCCTCAGTGAGACCTAGACCCAATGGAGACTCTAAAGTTTGCAAAGTCTGCTCTCTATCTCTCCTCAGTGAGACCTAGACCCAATGCAGACTCTAAAGGTTGCACATTATGGTCTCTATCTGCCCTCAATGAGACCTAGGTTCAGTGCAGACTTTAAAGTTTGCACAGTCTGCTCTGTATCTGTCCTCAATGAGACCTAGGCCCAATGCAGACTCTAAAGGTTGCACAGTCTGCCCTCTATCTGTCCTCAATTAGACCTAGGCCCAATGCAGACTCTAAAGTTTTAACAGTCTGGTCTCTATCTGTCCTCAATGAGACCTAGGCCCAATGCCGACTCTAGAGGTTGCACAGTGTGCTCTCTATCTGCTGTCGATGAGACCTAGGCCCAATGCAGACTCTAAAGGTGGCACAGTCTGCTCTCTAACTGCCCTCAATGAGACCTAGACCCAATGCAGACTCTAAAGGTTGCACAGTCTGGTCGCTATCTGTCCTCAATGAGACCCAGGCCCAATGCAGACTCTAAAGGTTACACAGTCTCCTCTATATCTGTCCTCAATGAGACTTAGGACCAGTGCCGACTCTAATGGTTGCCTAGTCTGCTCTTTATCTGTCCTCAATGAGACCTAGGCCCAATGCAGACTCTAAAGGTTGCACAGTCCGGTCTCTATCTGTCCTCAATGAGACCTAGGCCCAATGCCGACTCTAAAGTTTGCACAGTGTGCTCTCTATCTGCTCTCAATGAGACCTAGGCCTAATGCAGACTCTAAAGGTAGCACAGTCTGCTCTCTAACTGCCCTCAATGACACCTAGGCCCAATGCAGACTCTAAACGTTGCATAGTCTGGTCTCTATCTGCCCTCAATGACACCTAGGCCCAATGCAGACTCTAAAGGTTGCACAGTCTGCTCTCTATCTGTCCTCAATGAGACCTAGGCCAAGTGCAGACTCTAAAGCTTGCACAGTCTGCTCTCTATCTGACCTCAATGAGACCTAGGCCCAATGCAGACTATAAAGGTTCTACAGTCTGCTCTCTATCTGTCCTCAATGAGACCTAGGCCCAATGCAGACTCTAAAGGTTGCACAGTCTGCTCTCTAACTGTCCTCATTGAGACATAGGCCCAATGCAGACTCTAAAGGTTCCACAGTCTGCTCTCTATGTGTCCTCAATGAGACCTAGGCCCAGTGCAGACTCTAAAGGTTGCATAGTATGCTCTCTATCTGTCCTCAATGAGATCTAAGCCCAACGCAGACTCTAAGGGTTGCCGAGCCTGCTCTCTATCTGCCCTCAATGAGACCTAGGCCCAATGCAGACTCTAAAGGTTGCACAGTCTGCTCTCTATCTGTCCTCAATGAGACCTAGGCCCAATAGAGACTCTAAAGGTTGCACAGTCTGCTCTCTATCTGTCCTCAATGAGACCCAGGCCCAATGCAGACTGTAAACTTTGCATAGTCTGCTCTCCATCTGTCCGCAATTAGACCTAGACCCAATGCAGACTCTAAAGGTTGCACAGTCTGCTGCCTATCTGACCTCAAGGAGACCTAGGCCCAATGCAGACTCTAAAGGTTGCACAGTCTGGTCTCTATCTGTCCTCAATGACACCTAGGCCCAGTGCAGACTCTAAAGTTTGCACAGTCTGCTCTCTGTCTGTCCTCAAAGAGACCTAGGCCCAGTGCAGACTATAAAGGTTGCACAGTCTGCTCTCTATCTGTCCTCAATGAGACCTAGGCCCAATGTAGACTCTAAAGGTGGCACAGTCTGCTCTCTATCTGCCCTCAATGAGACCTAGGCCCAATGCAAACTCTAAAGGTTGCACAGTCTGGTCTCTATCTGCCCTCAATGAGACCTAGGCCCAATGCAGACTCTAAAGGTTGCACAGTCTGTTCTCTATCTGTCCTCAATGAGACCTAGGCCAAGTGTAGACTCTAAAGCTTGCACAGTCTGCTCTCTATCTGACCTCAATGAGACCTAGGCCCAATGCAGACTATAAAGGTTCTACAGTCTGCTCTCTATCTGTCCTCAATGAGACCTAGGCCCAATGCAAACTCTAAAGGTTGCACACTCTGGTCTCTTTCTGTCCTCAATGAGACCTAGGCCAAATGCAGACTCTAAAGGTTGCACAGTCTGCTCTCTAACTGTCCTCAATGAGACATAGGCCCAATGCAGACTCTAAAGGTTGCACAGTCTGCTCTCTATGTGTCCTCAATGAGACCTAGGCCCAGTGCAGACTCTCAAGGTTGCATAGTATGCTCTCTATCTGTCCTCAATAAGATCTAGGCCCAATGCAGACTCTAAGGGTTGCCGAGCCTGCTCTCTATCTGCCCTCAATGAGACCTAGGCCCAATGCAGACTCTAAAGGTTGCACAGTCCGCTCCCTATCTGTCCTCAATGAGATCTAGGCCCAATAGAGACTCTAAAGGTTGCACAGTCTGCTCTCTATCTGTCCTCAATGAGACCGAGGCTCTATGCAGACTCTAAAGGTTACACAGTGTGCTCTCTATCTGTCCTCAGTGAGACCTAGGCCCAATGCAGACTCTAAAGTTTGCGCAGTCTGCTCTCTATCTGTCCTCAATGAGACCTAGGGCCAGTGCAGACTCTAAAGGTTGCATAGTCTGCTCCTATCAGTCCTCAGTGAGACCTAGACCCAATGGAGACTCTAAAGTTTGCAAAGTCTGCTCTCTATCTCGCCTCAGTGAGACCTAGACCCAATGCAGACTCTAAAGGTTGCACAGTCTGGTCTCTATCTGCCCTCAATGAGACCTAGGCTCAGTGCAGACTTTAAAGTTTGCACAGTCTGCTCCGTATCTGTCCTCAATGAGACCTAGGTCCATTGCAGACTCTAAAGGTTGCACAGTCTGCCCTCTATCTGTCCTCAATGAGACCTAGGCCCAATGCAGCCTCTAAAGTTTCAACAGTCTGGTCTCTATCTGTCCTCAATGAGACCTAGGCCCAATGCCGACTCTAGAGGTTGCACAGTGTGCTCTCTATCTGCTCTCAATGAGACCTAGGCCCAATGCAGACTCTAAAGGTTGCACAGTCTGCTCTCTAACTGCCCTCAATGAGACCTAAGCCCAATGCAGACTCTAAAGGTTGTACAGTCTGGTCGCTATCTGTCCTCAATGAGACCCAGGCCCAATGCAGACTCTAAAGGTTGCACAGTCTGCTCTATATCTGTCCTCAATGAGACCTAGGACCAGTGCGGACTCTAATGGTTGCCTAGTGTGCTCTCTATCTGTCCTCAATGAGACCTAGGCCCAATGCAGACTCTAAAGGTTGCACAGTCCGGTCTCTATCTGTCCTCAATGAGACCTAGGCCCAATGCCGACTCTAAAGTTTGCACAGTGTGCTCTCTATCTGCTCTCAATGAGACCTAGGCCCAATGCAGATTCTAAAGGTTGCACAGTCTGCTCTCTAACTGCCCTCAATGACACCTAGGCCCAATGCAGACTCTAAACGTTGCATAGTCTGGTCTCTATCTGCCCTCAATGAGACCTAGGCCCAATGCAGACTCTAAAGTTTGCACAGTCTGCTCTCTATCTGTCCTCAATGAGACCTAGGCCAAGTGCAGACTCTAAAGCTTGCACAGTCTGCTCTCTATCTGACCTCAATGAGACCTAGGCCCAATGCAGACTATGAAGGTTCTACAGTCTGCTCTCTATCTGTCCTCAATGAGACCGAGTCCCAATGCCGACTCTAAAGGTTGCACACTCTGGTCTCTTTTTGTCCTCAATGAGACGTAGGCCAAATGCAGACTCTAAAGTTTGCACAGTCTGCTCTCTAACTGTCCTCAATGAGACATAGGCCCAATGCAGACTCTAAAGGTTGCACAGTCTGCTCTCTATGTGTCCTCAATGAGACCTAGGCCCAGTGCAGACTCTAAAGTTTGCACAGTCTGCTCTCTGTCTGTCCTCAAAGAGACCTAGGCCCAGTGCAGACTCTAAAGGTTGCACAGTCTGCTCTCTATCTGTCCTCAATGAGACCTAGGCCCAATGCAGACTCTAAGGGTTGCACATTCTGCTCTCTATCTGCCCTCAATGAGACCTAGGCCCAATGCAAACACTAAAGGTTGCACAGTCTGGTCTCTATCTGTCCTCAATGAGACCTAGGCCCAATGCGGACTCTAAAGGTTGCACAGTGTGCTCTCCATCTGTCCTCAATGAGACCTAGGCCCAATGCAGACTCTAAAGGTTGCACAGTCTGCTCTCTATCTCTCCTCAATGAGACCTAGGCCCAATGCAAACTCTAAAGTTTGCACAGTCTGCTCTCTATCTGCCCTCAACGAGACCTAGGCCCAATGCAGACTCTAAAGGTTGCACAGTCTGCTCTCTATGTGTCCTCAATGAGACCTAGGCCAAGTGCAGACTCTAAAGGTTGCACAGTCTGCTCTCTATCTGCCCTCAATGAGACCTAGGCCCAATGTAGACTCTAAAGGTTGCACAGTCTGCTCTCTATCTACTCTCAATGAGACCTAGGCCCAATGCAGACTCTAAAGGTTGCGCAGTCTGGTCTCTATCTGTCCTGAATGAGGCCCAGGCCCAATGCAGACTGTAAAGGTTGCACAGTCTGCTCTCTATCTGTCCTCAATGAGACCTAGGCTCAGTCCAGCCTCTAAAGTTTGCATAGTCTGCTCTCTATCTGTCCTCAATGAGACCTAGGTCCAATGCAGACTCTAAAGGTTGCACAGTCTGCTTTCCATCTGTCCTCAATGAGACCTAGGCCCAATGCAGACTCTATAGGTTGCACAGTCTGCTCTCCATCTGTCCTCAATGAGACCTAGGCCCAATGCAGACTCTAAAGGTTGCACAGTCTGCTCTCTATTTGTCCTCAATGAGACCCAGGCCCAATGCAGACTCTAAAGGTGGCACAGTCTGCTCTCTATCGGTCCTCAATGAGACCGAGGCCCTATGCAGTCTCTAAAGGTTACACAGTGTGCTCTCTATCTCTCCTCAGTGAGACCTAGGCCCAATGCAGACTCTAAAGGTTGCACAGTATGGTCTCTATCTGCCCTCAATGAGACCTAGGCCCAGTGCAGACTCTAAAGGTTGCACAGTCTGCTCTCTATCGGTCCTCAATGAGACCTAGGCCCAATGCAGACTCTAAAGGTTGCACAGTCTGCCCTCTATCTGTCCTCAATGAGACCTAGGCCCAGTGCAGCCTCTAAAGGTTGCACAGTCTGCTCTCTATCTGTCCTCAATGAGACCCAGGCCCAATGCAGACTCTAAAGGTTGCACAGTCTGCTCTATATCTGTCCTCAATGAGACCTAGGACCAGTGCCGACTCTAATGGTTGCCTACTCTGCTCTCTATCTGTCCTCAATGAGACCTAGGCCCAATGCAGACTCTAAAGGTTTCACAGTCTGGTCTCTATCTGTCCTCAATGAGACCTAGGCCCAATGCCGACTCTAAAGGTTGCACTGTATGCTCTCTATCTTCTCTCAATGAGACCTAGGCCCAATGCAGACTCTAAAGGTTGCACAGTCTGCTCTCTATGTGCCCTCAATGAGACCTAGGCCCAATGCAGACTCTAAAGGTTGCACAGTCTGCTCTCCATCTGTCCTCAATGAGACCTAGGCCCAATGCAGACTCTAAAGGTTGCACAGTCTGCTCTCTATTTCTCCTCAATGAGACCCAGGCCCAATGCAGACTCTAAAGGTGGCACAGTCTGCTCTCTATCGGTCCTCAATGAGACCGAGGCCCTATGCAGACTCTAAAGGTTACACAGTGTGCTCTCTATCTGTCCTCAATGAGACCTAGGCCCAATGCAGACTCTAAAGTTTGCGCAGTCTGCTCTCTATCTGTCCTCAATGAGACCTAGGGCCAGTGCAGACTCTAAAGGTTGCATAATCTGCTCTCTATCAGTCCTCAGTGAGACCTAGACCTAATGCAGACTCTAAAGTTTGCAAAGTCTGCTCTCTATCTCTCCTCAGTGAGACCTAGACCCAATGCAGACTCTAAAGGTTGCACAGTATGGTCTCTATCTGCCCTCAATGAGACCTAGGCCCAGTGCAGACTCTAAAGGTTGCACAGTCTGCTCTCTATCTGACCTCAATGAGACCTAGGCCCAATGCAGACTCTAAAGGTTGCACAGTCTGCCCTGTATCTGTCCTCAATGAGACCTAGGCCCAATGCAGACTCTAAAGTTTGCACAGTCTGGTCTCTATCTGTCCTCAATGAGACCTAGGCCCAATGCCGACTCTAGAGGTTGCACAGTGTGCTCTCTATCTGCTCTCAATGAGACCTAGGCCCAATGCAGACTCTAAAGGTTGCACAGTCTGCTCTCTAACTGCCCTCAATGAGACCTAGGCCGAATGCAGACTCTAAAGGTTGCACAGTCTGTTCTCTATCTGTCCTCAATGAGACCTAGGCCAAGTGCAGACTCTAAAGCTTGCCCAGTCTGCTCCCTATCTGACCTCAATGAGACCTAGGCCCAATGCAGACTATAAAGGTTCTACAGTCTCCTCTCTATCTGTCCTCAATGAGACCCAGGCCCAATGCAGACTCTAAAGGTTGCACACTCTGGTCTCTTTCTGTACTCAATGAGACCTAGGCCAAATGCAGACTCTAAAGGTAGCACAGTCTGCTCTCTAACTGTCCTCAATGAGACATAGGCCTAATGCAGACTCTAAAGGTTGCACAGTCTGCTCTCTATGTTTCCTCAATGAGAACTAAGCCCAGTGCAGACTCTAAAGGTTGCATAGTATGCTCTCTATCTGTCCTCAATGAGATCTAGGCCCAATGCAGACTCTAAGGGTTGCCGAGCCTGCTCTCTGTCTGCCGTCAATGAGACCTAGGCCCAATGCAGACTCTAAAGGTTGCACAGTCCGCTCCCTATCTGTCCTCAATGAGACCTAGGCCCAATAGAGACTCTAAAGGTTGCACAGTCTGCTCTCTATCTGTCCTCAATGAGACCCAGGCCCAATGCAGACTCTAAACGTTGCATAGTCTGCTCTCTATCTGTCCGCAATTAGACCTAGGCCCAATGCAGACTCTAAACGTTGCACAGTCTGCTGTCTATCTGTCCGCAATTAGACCTAGGCCCAATGCAGACTCTAAAGGTTGCAGAGTCTGCTGTCTATCTGACCTCAAGGAGACCTAGGCCCAATGCAGACTCTAAAGGTTGCACAGTCTGGTCTCTATCTGTCCTCAATGACACCTAGGCCCAATGCGGACTCTAAAGGTTGCACAGTGTGCTCTCCATCTGTCCTCAATGAGACCTAGGCCCAATGCAGACTCTAAAGGTTGCACAGTCTGCTCTCTATCTCTCCTCAATGAGACCTAGGCTCAATGCAGACTCTAAAGGTTGCACAGTCTGCTCTCTATCTGCTCTCAATGAGACCTAGGCCCAATGCAGACTCTAAAGGTTGCACAGTCTGGTCTCTATCTGCCCTCAATGAGACCTAGGCCCAATGCAGACTCTAAAGGTTGCACACTCTGCTCTCTATCTGCTCTCAATGAGACCTAGGCCCAATGCAGACTCTAAAGGTTGCACAGTCTGCTCTCCATCTCTCCTCAATGAGACCTAGGCCCAATGCAGACTCTAAAGGTTGCACAGTCTGCTCTCTATTTGTCCTCAATGAGACCCAGGCCCAATGCAGACTCTAAAGGTTGCACAGTCTGCTCTCTATCGGTCCTCATAGAGACCGAGGCCCTATGCAGACTCTAAAGGTTACACAGTGTGCTCTCTATCTGTCCTCAATGAGACCTAGGCCCAATGCAGACTCTAAAGTTTGCGCAGTCTGCTCTGTATCTGTCCTCAATGAGACCTAGTGCCAGTGCAGACTCTAAAGGTTGCATAGTCTGCTCTCTATCAGTCCTCAGTGAGACCTAGACCCAATGCAGACTCTAAAGTTTGCAAAGTCTGCTCTCTATCTCTCCTCAGTGAGACCTAGACCCAATGCAGATTCTAAAGGTTGCACAGTATGGTCTCTATCTGCCCTCAATGAGACCTAGGCCCAGTGCAGACTCTAAAGGTTGCACAGTCTGCTCTCTATCTGTCCTCAATGAGACCTAGGCCCAATGCAGACTCTAAAGGTTGCACAGTCTGCCCTCTATCTGTCCTCAATGAGACCTAGGCCCAGTGCAGACTCTAAAGGTTGCACAGTCTGGTCTCTATCTGTCCTCAATGAGACCCAGGCCCAATGCAGACTCTAAAGGTTGCACAGTCTGCACTATATCTGTCCTCAATTAGACCTAGGACCAGTGTCGACTCTAATGGTTGCCTAGTCTGCTCTCTATCTGTCCTCAATGAGACCCATGCACAATGCAGACTCTAAAGGTTGCACAGTCTGCTCTATATCTGTCCTCAATGAGACCTAGGACCAGTGTCGACTCTAATGGTTGCATAGTCTGCTCTCTATCTGTCCTCAATGAGACCTAGGCCCAATGCAGACTCTAAAGGTTGCACAGTCTGGTCTCTATCTGTCCTCAATGAGACCTAGGCCCAATGCCGACTCTAAAGGTTGCACAGTATGCTCTCTATCTGCTCTCAATGAGACCTAGGCCCAATGCAGACTCTAAAGGTTGCACAGTCTGCTCTCTATCTGCCCTCAATGAGACCTAGGCCCAATGCAGACTCTAAAGGTTGCACAGTCTGCTCTCCATCTGTCCTCAATGAGACCTAGGCCCAATGCAGACTCTAAAGGTTGCACAGTCTGCTCTCTATTTCTCCTCAGTGAGACCCAGGCCCAATGCAGACTCTAAAGGTGGCACAGTCTGCTCTCTATCGGTCCTCAATGAGACCGAGGCTCTATGCAGACTCTAAAGGTTACACAGTGTGCTCTCTATCTGTCCTCAATGAGACCTAGACCCAATGCAGACTCTAAAGTTTGCGCAGTCTGCTCTCTATCTGTCCTCAATGAGACCTAGGGCCAGTGCAGACTCTAAAGTTGCATAGTCTGCTCTCTATCAGTCCTCAGTGAGACCTAGACCTAATGCAGACTCTAAAGTTTGCAAAGTCTGCTCTCTATCTCTCCTCAGTGAGACCTAGACCCAATGCAGACTCTAAAGTTTGCACAGTATGGTCTCTATATGCCCTCAATGAGACCTAGGCCCAGTGCAGACTCGAAAGGTTGCACAGTCTGCTCTCTATCTGTCCTCAATGAGACCTAGGCTCAATGCAGACTCTAAAGGTTGCACAGTCTGCCCTCTATCTGTCCTCAATGAGACCTAGGCCCAATGCAGACTCTAAAGTTTGCACAGTCTGGTCTCTATCTGTCCTCAATGAGACCTAGGCCCAATGCCGACTCTAGAGGTTGCACAGTGTGCTCTCTATCTGCTCTCAATGAGACCTAGGCCCAATGCAGACTCTAAAGGTTGCACAGTCTGCTCTCTAACTGCCCTCAATGAGACCTAGGCCCAATGCAGACTCTAAAGGTTGCACAGTCTGTTCTCTATCTGTCCTCAATGAGACCTAGGCCAAGTGCAGACTCTAAAGCTTGCACAGTCTGCTCTCTATCTGACCTCAATGAGACCTAGGCCCAATGCAGACTATAAAGGTTCTACAGTCTGCTCTCTATCTGTCCTCAATGAGACCTAGGCCCAATGCAGACTCTAAAGTTTGCGCACTCTGGTCTCTTTCTGTCCTCAATGAGACCTAGGCCAAATGCAGACTGTAAAGGTTGCACAGCCTGCTCTCTAACTGTCCTCAATGAGACATAGGCCCAATGCAGACTCTAAAGGTTGCACAGTCTGCTCTCTATGTGCTCTCAATGAGACCTAGGCCCAATGCAGACTCTAAAGGTTGCATAGTATGCTCTCTATCTGTCCTCAATGAGATCTAGGCCCAATGCAGACTCTAAGGGTTCCCGAGCCTGCTCTCTATCTGCCCTCAATGAGACCTAGGCCCAATGCAGACTCTAAAGGTTGCACAGTCTGCCCTCTATCTGTCCTCAATTAGACCTAGGCCCAATGCAGACTCTAAAGTTTTAACAGTCTGGTCTCTATCTGTCCTCAATGAGACCTAGGCCCAATGCCGACTCTAGAGGTTGCACAGTGTGCTCTCTATCTGCTGTCGATGAGACCTAGGCCCAATGCAGACTCTAAAGGTGGCACAGTCTGCTCTCTAACTGCCCTCAATGAGACCTAGACCCAATGCAGACTCTAAAGGTTGCACAGTCTGTTCTCTATCTGTCCTCAATGAGACCCAGGCCCAATGCAGACTCTAAAGGTTACACAGTCTCCTCTATATCTGTCCTCAATGAGACCTAGGCCCAGTGCAGACTCTAAAGTTTGCACAGTCTGCTCTCTGTCTGTCCTCAAAGAGACCTAGGCCCAGTGCAGACTCTAAAGGTTGCACAGTCTGCTCTCTATCTGTCCTCAATGAGACCTAGGCCCAATGCAGACTCTAAGGGTTGCACATTCTGCTCTCTATCTGCCCTCAATGAGACCTAGGCCCAATGCAAACACTAAAGGTTGCACAGTCTGGTCTCTATCTGTCCTCAATGAGACCTAGGCCCAATGCGGACTCTAAAGGTTGCACAGTGTGCTCTCCATCTGTCCTCAATGAGACCTAGGCCCAATGCAGACTCTAAAGGTTGCACAGTCTGCTCTCTATCTCTCCTCAATGAGACCTAGGCCCAATGCAAACTCTAAAGTTTGCACAGTCTGCTCTCTATCTGCCCTCAACGAGACCTAGGCCCAATGCAGACTCTAAAGGTTGCACAGTCTGCTCTCTATGTGTCCTCAATGAGACCTAGGCCAAGTGCAGACTCTAAAGGTTGCACAGTCTGCTCTCTATCTGCCCTCAATGAGACCTAGGCCCAATGTAGACTCTAAAGGTTGCACAGTCTGCTCTCTATCTACTCTCAATGAGACCTAGGCCCAATGCAGACTCTAAAGGTTGCGCAGTCTGGTCTCTATCTGTCCTGAATGAGGCCCAGGCCCAATGCAGACTGTAAAGGTTGCACAGTCTGCTCTCTATCTGTCCTCAATGAGACCTAGGCTCAGTCCAGCCTCTAAAGTTTGCATAGTCTGCTCTCTATCTGTCCTCAATGAGACCTAGGTCCAATGCAGACTCTAAAGGTTGCACAGTCTGCTTTCCATCTGTCCTCAATGAGACCTAGGCCCAATGCAGACTCTATAGGTTGCACAGTCTGCTCTCCATCTGTCCTCAATGAGACCTAGGCCCAATGCAGACTCTAAAGGTTGCACAGTCTGCTCTCTATTTGTCCTCAATGAGACCCAGGCCCAATGCAGACTCTAAAGGTGGCACAGTCTGCTCTCTATCGGTCCTCAATGAGACCGAGGCCCTATGCAGTCTCTAAAGGTTACACAGTGTGCTCTCTATCTCTCCTCAGTGAGACCTAGGCCCAATGCAGACTCTAAAGGTTGCACAGTATGGTCTCTATCTGCCCTCAATGAGACCTAGGCCCAGTGCAGACTCTAAAGGTTGCACAGTCTGCTCTCTATCGGTCCTCAATGAGACCTAGGCCCAATGCAGACTCTAAAGGTTGCACAGTCTGCCCTCTATCTGTCCTCAATGAGACCTAGGCCCAGTGCAGCCTCTAAAGGTTGCACAGTCTGCTCTCTATCTGTCCTCAATGAGACCCAGGCCCAATGCAGACTCTAAAGGTTGCACAGTCTGCTCTATATCTGTCCTCAATGAGACCTAGGACCAGTGCCGACTCTAATGGTTGCCTACTCTGCTCTCTATCTGTCCTCAATGAGACCTAGGCCCAATGCAGACTCTAAAGGTTTCACAGTCTGGTCTCTATCTGTCCTCAATGAGACCTAGGCCCAATGCCGACTCTAAAGGTTGCACTGTATGCTCTCTATCTTCTCTCAATGAGACCTAGGCCCAATGCAGACTCTAAAGGTTGCACAGTCTGCTCTCTATGTGCCCTCAATGAGACCTAGGCCCAATGCAGACTCTAAAGGTTGCACAGTCTGCTCTCCATCTGTCCTCAATGAGACCTAGGCCCAATGCAGACTCTAAAGGTTGCACAGTCTGCTCTCTATTTCTCCTCAATGAGACCCAGGCCCAATGCAGACTCTAAAGGTGGCACAGTCTGCTCTCTATCGGTCCTCAATGAGACCGAGGCCCTATGCAGACTCTAAAGGTTACACAGTGTGCTCTCTATCTGTCCTCAATGAGACCTAGGCCCAATGCAGACTCTAAAGTTTGCGCAGTCTGCTCTCTATCTGTCCTCAATGAGACCTAGGGCCAGTGCAGACTCTAAAGGTTGCATAATCTGCTCTCTATCAGTCCTCAGTGAGACCTAGACCTAATGCAGACTCTAAAGTTTGCAAAGTCTGCTCTCTATCTCTCCTCAGTGAGACCTAGACCCAATGCAGACTCTAAAGGTTGCACAGTATGGTCTCTATCTGCCCTCAATGAGACCTAGGCCCAGTGCAGACTCTAAAGGTTGCACAGTCTGCTCTCTATCTGACCTCAATGAGACCTAGGCCCAATGCAGACTCTAAAGGTTGCACAGTCTGCCCTGTATCTGTCCTCAATGAGACCTAGGCCCAATGCAGACTCTAAAGTTTGCACAGTCTGGTCTCTATCTGTCCTCAATGAGACCTAGGCCCAATGCCGACTCTAGAGGTTGCACAGTGTGCTCTCTATCTGCTCTCAATGAGACCTAGGCCCAATGCAGACTCTAAAGGTTGCACAGTCTGCTCTCTAACTGCCCTCAATGAGACCTAGGCCGAATGCAGACTCTAAAGGTTGCACAGTCTGTTCTCTATCTGTCCTCAATGAGACCTAGGCCAAGTGCAGACTCTAAAGCTTGCCCAGTCTGCTCCCTATCTGACCTCAATGAGACCTAGGCCCAATGCAGACTATAAAGGTTCTACAGTCTCCTCTCTATCTGTCCTCAATGAGACCCAGGCCCAATGCAGACTCTAAAGGTTGCACACTCTGGTCTCTTTCTGTACTCAATGAGACCTAGGCCAAATGCAGACTCTAAAGGTAGCACAGTCTGCTCTCTAACTGTCCTCAATGAGACATAGGCCTAATGCAGACTCTAAAGGTTGCACAGTCTGCTCTCTATGTTTCCTCAATGAGAACTAAGCCCAGTGCAGACTCTAAAGGTTGCATAGTATGCTCTCTATCTGTCCTCAATGAGATCTAGGCCCAATGCAGACTCTAAGGGTTGCCGAGCCTGCTCTCTGTCTGCCGTCAATGAGACCTAGGCCCAATGCAGACTCTAAAGGTTGCACAGTCCGCTCCCTATCTGTCCTCAATGAGACCTAGGCCCAATAGAGACTCTAAAGGTTGCACAGTCTGCTCTCTATCTGTCCTCAATGAGACCCAGGCCCAATGCAGACTCTAAACGTTGCATAGTCTGCTCTCTATCTGTCCGCAATTAGACCTAGGCCCAATGCAGACTCTAAACGTTGCACAGTCTGCTGTCTATCTGTCCGCAATTAGACCTAGGCCCAATGCAGACTCTAAAGGTTGCAGAGTCTGCTGTCTATCTGACCTCAAGGAGACCTAGGCCCAATGCAGACTCTAAAGGTTGCACAGTCTGGTCTCTATCTGTCCTCAATGACACCTAGGCCCAATGCGGACTCTAAAGGTTGCACAGTGTGCTCTCCATCTGTCCTCAATGAGACCTAGGCCCAATGCAGACTCTAAAGGTTGCACAGTCTGCTCTCTATCTCTCCTCAATGAGACCTAGGCTCAATGCAGACTCTAAAGGTTGCACAGTCTGCTCTCTATCTGCTCTCAATGAGACCTAGGCCCAATGCAGACTCTAAAGGTTGCACAGTCTGGTCTCTATCTGCCCTCAATGAGACCTAGGCCCAATGCAGACTCTAAAGGTTGCACACTCTGCTCTCTATCTGCTCTCAATGAGACCTAGGCCCAATGCAGACTCTAAAGGTTGCACAGTCTGCTCTCCATCTCTCCTCAATGAGACCTAGGCCCAATGCAGACTCTAAAGGTTGCACAGTCTGCTCTCTATTTGTCCTCAATGAGACCCAGGCCCAATGCAGACTCTAAAGGTTGCACAGTCTGCTCTCTATCGGTCCTCATAGAGACCGAGGCCCTATGCAGACTCTAAAGGTTACACAGTGTGCTCTCTATCTGTCCTCAATGAGACCTAGGCCCAATGCAGACTCTAAAGTTTGCGCAGTCTGCTCTGTATCTGTCCTCAATGAGACCTAGTGCCAGTGCAGACTCTAAAGGTTGCATAGTCTGCTCTCTATCAGTCCTCAGTGAGACCTAGACCCAATGCAGACTCTAAAGTTTGCAAAGTCTGCTCTCTATCTCTCCTCAGTGAGACCTAGACCCAATGCAGATTCTAAAGGTTGCACAGTATGGTCTCTATCTGCCCTCAATGAGACCTAGGCCCAGTGCAGACTCTAAAGGTTGCACAGTCTGCTCTCTATCTGTCCTCAATGAGACCTAGGCCCAATGCAGACTCTAAAGGTTGCACAGTCTGCCCTCTATCTGTCCTCAATGAGACCTAGGCCCAGTGCAGACTCTAAAGGTTGCACAGTCTGGTCTCTATCTGTCCTCAATGAGACCCAGGCCCAATGCAGACTCTAAAGGTTGCACAGTCTGCACTATATCTGTCCTCAATTAGACCTAGGACCAGTGTCGACTCTAATGGTTGCCTAGTCTGCTCTCTATCTGTCCTCAATGAGACCCATGCACAATGCAGACTCTAAAGGTTGCACAGTCTGCTCTATATCTGTCCTCAATGAGACCTAGGACCAGTGTCGACTCTAATGGTTGCATAGTCTGCTCTCTATCTGTCCTCAATGAGACCTAGGCCCAATGCAGACTCTAAAGGTTGCACAGTCTGGTCTCTATCTGTCCTCAATGAGACCTAGGCCCAATGCCGACTCTAAAGGTTGCACAGTATGCTCTCTATCTGCTCTCAATGAGACCTAGGCCCAATGCAGACTCTAAAGGTTGCACAGTCTGCTCTCTATCTGCCCTCAATGAGACCTAGGCCCAATGCAGACTCTAAAGGTTGCACAGTCTGCTCTCCATCTGTCCTCAATGAGACCTAGGCCCAATGCAGACTCTAAAGGTTGCACAGTCTGCTCTCTATTTCTCCTCAGTGAGACCCAGGCCCAATGCAGACTCTAAAGGTGGCACAGTCTGCTCTCTATCGGTCCTCAATGAGACCGAGGCTCTATGCAGACTCTAAAGGTTACACAGTGTGCTCTCTATCTGTCCTCAATGAGACCTAGACCCAATGCAGACTCTAAAGTTTGCGCAGTCTGCTCTCTATCTGTCCTCAATGAGACCTAGGGCCAGTGCAGACTCTAAAGTTGCATAGTCTGCTCTCTATCAGTCCTCAGTGAGACCTAGACCTAATGCAGACTCTAAAGTTTGCAAAGTCTGCTCTCTATCTCTCCTCAGTGAGACCTAGACCCAATGCAGACTCTAAAGTTTGCACAGTATGGTCTCTATATGCCCTCAATGAGACCTAGGCCCAGTGCAGACTCGAAAGGTTGCACAGTCTGCTCTCTATCTGTCCTCAATGAGACCTAGGCTCAATGCAGACTCTAAAGGTTGCACAGTCTGCCCTCTATCTGTCCTCAATGAGACCTAGGCCCAATGCAGACTCTAAAGTTTGCACAGTCTGGTCTCTATCTGTCCTCAATGAGACCTAGGCCCAATGCCGACTCTAGAGGTTGCACAGTGTGCTCTCTATCTGCTCTCAATGAGACCTAGGCCCAATGCAGACTCTAAAGGTTGCACAGTCTGCTCTCTAACTGCCCTCAATGAGACCTAGGCCCAATGCAGACTCTAAAGGTTGCACAGTCTGTTCTCTATCTGTCCTCAATGAGACCTAGGCCAAGTGCAGACTCTAAAGCTTGCACAGTCTGCTCTCTATCTGACCTCAATGAGACCTAGGCCCAATGCAGACTATAAAGGTTCTACAGTCTGCTCTCTATCTGTCCTCAATGAGACCTAGGCCCAATGCAGACTCTAAAGTTTGCGCACTCTGGTCTCTTTCTGTCCTCAATGAGACCTAGGCCAAATGCAGACTGTAAAGGTTGCACAGCCTGCTCTCTAACTGTCCTCAATGAGACATAGGCCCAATGCAGACTCTAAAGGTTGCACAGTCTGCTCTCTATGTGCTCTCAATGAGACCTAGGCCCAATGCAGACTCTAAAGGTTGCATAGTATGCTCTCTATCTGTCCTCAATGAGATCTAGGCCCAATGCAGACTCTAAGGGTTCCCGAGCCTGCTCTCTATCTGCCCTCAATGAGACCTAGGCCCAATGCAGACTCTAAAGGTTGCACAGTCTGCCCTCTATCTGTCCTCAATTAGACCTAGGCCCAATGCAGACTCTAAAGTTTTAACAGTCTGGTCTCTATCTGTCCTCAATGAGACCTAGGCCCAATGCCGACTCTAGAGGTTGCACAGTGTGCTCTCTATCTGCTGTCGATGAGACCTAGGCCCAATGCAGACTCTAAAGGTGGCACAGTCTGCTCTCTAACTGCCCTCAATGAGACCTAGACCCAATGCAGACTCTAAAGGTTGCACAGTCTGTTCTCTATCTGTCCTCAATGAGACCCAGGCCCAATGCAGACTCTAAAGGTTACACAGTCTCCTCTATATCTGTCCTCAATGAGACTTAGGACCAGTGCCGACTCTAATGGTTGCCTAGTCTGCTCTTTATCTGTCCTCAATGAGACCTAGGCCCAATGCAGACTCTAAAGGTTGCACAGTCCGGTCTCTATCTGTCCTCAATGAGACCTAGGCCCAATGCCGACTCTAAAGTTTGCACAGTGTGCTCTCTATCTGCTCTCAATGAGACCTAGGCCTAATGCAGACTCTAAAGGTAGCACAGTCTGCTCTCTAACTGCCCTCAATGACACCTAGGCCCAATGCAGACTCTAAACGTTGCATAGTCTGGTCTCTATCTGCCCTCAATAAGACCTAGGCCCAATGCAGACTCTAAAGGTTGCACAGTCTGCTCTCTATCTGTCCTCAATGAGACCTAGGCCAAGTGCAGACTCTAAAGCTTGCACAGTCTGCTCTCTATCTGACCTCAATGAGACCTAGGCCCAATGCAGACTATAAAGGTTCTACAGTCTGCTCTCTATCTGTCCTCAATGAGACCTAGGCCCAATGCAGACTCTAAAGGTTGCACAGTCTGCTCTCTAACTGTCCTCATTGAGACATAGGCCCAATGCAGACTCTAAAGGTTCCACAGTCTGCTCTCTATGTGTCCTCAATGAGACCTAGGCCCAGTGCAGACTCTAAAGGTTGCATAGTATGCTCTCTATCTGTCCTCAATGAGATCTAAGCCCAACGCAGACTCTAAGGGTTGCCGAGCCTGCTCTCTATCTGCCCTCAATGAGACCTAGGCCCAATGCAGACTCTAAAGGTTGCACAGTCTGCTCTCTATCTGTCCTCAATGAGACCTAGGCCCAATAGAGACTCTAAAGGTTGCACAGTCTGCTCTCTATCTGTCCTCAATGAGACCCAGGCCCAATGCAGACTGTAAACTTTGCATAGTCTGCTCTCCATCTGTCCGCAATTAGACCTAGACCCAATGCAGACTCTAAAGGTTGCACAGTCTGCTGCCTATCTGACCTCAAGGAGACCTAGGCCCAATGCAGACTCTAAAGGTTGCACAGTCTGGTCTCTATCTGTCCTCAATGACACCTAGGCCCAGTGCAGACTCTAAAGTTTGCACAGTCTGCTCTCTGTCTGTCCTCAAAGAGACCTAGGCCCAGTGCAGACTATAAAGGTTGCACAGTCTGCTCTCTATCTGTCCTCAATGAGACCTAGGCCCAATGTAGACTCTAAAGGTGGCACAGTCTGCTCTCTATCTGCCCTCAATGAGACCTAGGCCCAATGCAAACTCTAAAGGTTGCACAGTCTGGTCTCTATCTGCCCTCAATGAGACATAGACCCAATGCAGACTCTAAAGGTTGCACAGTCTGCTCTCCATCTGTCCTCAATGAGACCTAGGCCCAATGCAGACTCTAAAGGTTGCACAGTCTGCTCTCTATTTCTCCTCCATGAGACCCAGGCCCAATGCAGACTCTAAAGGTGGCACAGTCTGCTCTCTATCGGTCCTCAATGAGACCGAGGCCCTACGCAGACTCTAAAGGTTACACAGTGTGCTCTCTATCTGTCCTCAGTGAGACCTAGGCCCAATGCAAACTCTAAAGTTTGCGCAGTCTGCTCTCTATGTGTCCTCAATGAGACCTAGGGCCAGTGCAGACTCTAAAGGTTGCATAGTCTGCTCTCTATCAGTCCTCAGTGAGACGTAGACCTAATGTAGACTCTAAAGTTTGCAAAGTCTGCTCTCTATCTCTCCTCAGTGAGACCTAGACCCAATGCAGACTCTAAAGGTTGCACAGTATGGTCTCTATCTGCCCTCAATGAGACCTAGGCCCAGTGCAGACTCTAAAGGTTTCACAGTCTGCTCTCTATCTGTCCTCAATGAGACCTAGGCCCAATGCAGACTCTAAACGTTGCACAGTCTGCCCTCTATCTGTCCTCAATGAGACCTAGGCCCAATGCAGACTCTAAAGTTTGCACAGTCTGGTCTCTATCTGTCCTCAATGAGACCTAGGCCCAATGCCGACTCTAGAGGTTGCACAGTGTGCTCTCTATCTGCTCTCAATGAGACCTAGGCCCAATGCAGACTCTAAAGGTTGCACAGTCTGCTCTCTAACTGCCCTCAATGAGACCTAGGCCCAATGCAGACTCTAAAGTTTGCACAGTCTGTTCTCTATCTGTCCTCAATGAGACCTAGGCCAAGTGTAGACTCTAAAGCTTGCACAGTCTGCTCTCTATCTGACCTCAATGAGACCTAGGCCCAATGCAGACTATAAAGGTTCTACAGTCTGCTCTCTATCTGTCCTCAATGAGACCTAGGCCCAATGCAAACTCTAAAGGTTGCACACTCTGGTCTCTTTCTGTCCTCAATGAGACCTAGGCCAAATGCAGACTCTAAAGGTTGCACAGTCTGCTCTCTAACTGTCCTCAATGAGACATAGGCCCAATGCAGACTCTAAAGGTTGCACAGTCTGCTCTCTATGTGTCCTCAATGAGACCTAGGCCCAGTGCAGACTCTCAAGGTTGCATAGTATGCTCTCTATCTGTCCTCAATAAGATCTAGGCCCAATGCAGACTCTAAGGGTTGCCGAGCCTGCTCTCTATCTGCCCTCAATGAGACCTAGGCCCAATGCAGACTCTAAAGGTTGCACAGTCCGCTCCCTATCTGTCCTCAATGAGATCTAGGCCCAATAGAGACTCTAAAGGTTGCACAGTCTGCTCTCTATCTGTCCTCAATGAGACCGAGGCTCTATGCAGACTCTAAAGGTTACACAGTGTGCTCTCTATCTGTCCTCAGTGAGACCTAGGCCCAATGCAGACTCTAAAGTTTGCGCAGTCTGCTCTCTATCTGTCCTCAATGAGACCTAGGGCCAGTGCAGACTCTAAAGGTTGCATAGTCTGCTCCTATCAGTCCTCAGTGAGACCTAGACCCAATGGAGACTCTAAAGTTTGCAAAGTCTGCTCTCTATCTCGCCTCAGTGAGACCTAGACCCAATGCAGACTCTAAAGGTTGCACAGTCTGGTCTCTATCTGCCCTCAATGAGACCTAGGCTCAGTGCAGACTTTAAAGTTTGCACAGTCTGCTCCGTATCTGTCCTCAATGAGACCTAGGTCCATTGCAGACTCTAAAGGTTGCACAGTCTGCCCTCTATCTGTCCTCAATGAGACCTAGGCCCAATGCAGCCTCTAAAGTTTCAACAGTCTGGTCTCTATCTGTCCTCAATGAGACCTAGGCCCAATGCCGACTCTAGAGGTTGCACAGTGTGCTCTCTATCTGCTCTCAATGAGACCTAGGCCCAATGCAGACTCTAAAGGTTGCACAGTCTGCTCTCTAACTGCCCTCAATGAGACCTAAGCCCAATGCAGACTCTAAAGGTTGTACAGTCTGGTCGCTATCTGTCCTCAATGAGACCCAGGCCCAATGCAGACTCTAAAGGTTGCACAGTCTGCTCTATATCTGTCCTCAATGAGACCTAGGACCAGTGCGGACTCTAATGGTTGCCTAGTGTGCTCTCTATCTGTCCTCAATGAGACCTAGGCCCAATGCAGACTCTAAAGGTTGCACAGTCCGGTCTCTATCTGTCCTCAATGAGACCTAGGCCCAATGCCGACTCTAAAGTTTGCACAGTGTGCTCTCTATCTGCTCTCAATGAGACCTAGGCCCAATGCAGATTCTAAAGGTTGCACAGTCTGCTCTCTAACTGCCCTCAATGACACCTAGGCCCAATGCAGACTCTAAACGTTGCATAGTCTGGTCTCTATCTGCCCTCAATGAGACCTAGGCCCAATGCAGACTCTAAAGTTTGCACAGTCTGCTCTCTATCTGTCCTCAATGAGACCTAGGCCAAGTGCAGACTCTAAAGCTTGCACAGTCTGCTCTCTATCTGACCTCAATGAGACCTAGGCCCAATGCAGACTATGAAGGTTCTACAGTCTGCTCTCTATCTGTCCTCAATGAGACCGAGTCCCAATGCCGACTCTAAAGGTTGCACACTCTGGTCTCTTTTTGTCCTCAATGAGACGTAGGCCAAATGCAGACTCTAAAGTTTGCACAGTCTGCTCTCTAACTGTCCTCAATGAGACATAGGCCCAATGCAGACTCTAAAGGTTGCACAGTCTGCTCTCTATGTGTCCTCAATGAGACCTAGGCCCAGTGCAGACTCTAAAGTTTGCACAGTCTGCTCTCTGTCTGTCCTCAAAGAGACCTAGGCCCAGTGCAGACTCTAAAGGTTGCACAGTCTGCTCTCTATCTGTCCTCAATGAGACCTAGGCCCAATGCAGACTCTAAGGGTTGCACATTCTGCTCTCTATCTGCCCTCAATGAGACCTAGGCCCAATGCAAACACTAAAGGTTGCACAGTCTGGTCTCTATCTGTCCTCAATGAGACCTAGGCCCAATGCGGACTCTAAAGGTTGCACAGTGTGCTCTCCATCTGTCCTCAATGAGACCTAGGCCCAATGCAGACTCTAAAGGTTGCACAGTCTGCTCTCTATCTCTCCTCAATGAGACCTAGGCCCAATGCAAACTCTAAAGTTTGCACAGTCTGCTCTCTATCTGCCCTCAATGAGACCTAGGCCCAATGCAGACTCTAAAGGTTGCACAGTCTGCTCTCTATGTGTCCTCAATGAGACCTAGGCCAAGTGCAGACTCTAAAGGTTGCACAGTCTGCTCTCCATCTGCCCTCAATGAGACCTAGGCCCAATGTAGACTCTAAAGGTTGCACAGTCTGCTCTCTATCTACTCTCAATGAGACCTAGGCCCAATGCAGACTCTAAAGGTTGCGCAGTCTGGTCTCTATCTGTCCTGAATGAGGCCCAGGCCCAATGCAGACTGTAAAGGTTGCACAGTCTGCTCTCTATCTGTCCTCAATGAGACCTAGGCTCAGTCCAGCCTCTAAAGTTTGCATAGTCTGCTCTCTATCTGTCCTCAATGAGACCTAGGTCCAATGCAGACTCTAAAGGTTGCACAGTCTGCTTTCCATCTGTCCTCAATGAGACCTAGGCCCAATGCAGACTCTATAGGTTGCACAGTCTGCTCTCCATCTGTCCTCAATGAGACCTAGGCCCAATGCAGACTCTAAAGGTTGCACAGTCTGCTCTCTATTTGTCCTCAATGAGACCCAGGCCCAATGCAGACTCTAAAGGTGGCACAGTCTGCTCTCTATCGGTCCTCAATGAGACCGAGGCCCTATGCAGTCTCTAAAGGTTACACAGTGTGCTCTCTATCTCTCCTCAGTGAGACCTAGGCCCAATGCAGACTCTAAAGGTTGCACAGTATGGTCTCTATCTGCCCTCAATGAGACCTAGGCCCAGTGCAGACTCTAAAGGTTGCACAGTCTGCTCTCTATCGGTCCTCAATGAGACCTAGGCCCAATGCAGACTCTAAAGGTTGCACAGTCTGCCCTCTATCTGTCCTCAATGAGACCTAGGCCCAGTGCAGCCTCTAAAGGTTGCACAGTCTGCTCTCTATCTGTCCTCAATGAGACCCAGGCCCAATGCAGACTCTAAAGGTTGCACAGTCTGCTCTATATCTGTCCTCAATGAGACCTAGGACCAGTGCCGACTCTAATGGTTGCCTACTCTGCTCTCTATCTGTCCTCAATGAGACCTAGGCCCAATGCAGACTCTAAAGGTTTCACAGTCTGGTCTCTATCTGTCCTCAATGAGACCTAGGCCCAATGCCGACTCTAAAGGTTGCACTGTATGCTCTCTATCTTCTCTCAATGAGACCTAGGCCCAATGCAGACTCTAAAGGTTGCACAGTCTGCTCTCTATGTGCCCTCAATGAGACCTAGGCCCAATGCCGACTCTAAAGGTTGCACTGTATGCTCTCTATCTTCTCTCAATGAGACCTAGGCCCAATGCAGACTCTAAAGGTTGCACAGTCTGCTCTCTATGTGCCCTCAATGAGACCTAGGCCCAATGCAGACTCTAAAGGTTGCACAGTCTGCTCTCCATCTGTCCTCAATGAGACCTAGGCCCAATGCAGACTCTAAAGTTTGCACAGTCTGGTCTCTATCTGTCCTCAATGAGACCTAGGCCCAATGCCGACTCTAGAGGTTGCACAGTGTGCTCTCTATCTGCTCTCAATGAGACCTAGGCCCAATGCAGACTCTAAAGGTTGCACAGTCTGCTCTCTAACTGCCCTCAATGAGACCTAGGCCCAATGCAGACTCTAAAGGTTGCACAGTCTGTTCTCTATCTGTCCTCAATGAGACCTAGGCCAAGTGCAGACTCTAAAGCTTGCCCAGTCTGCTCCCTATCTGACCTCAATGAGACCTAGGCCCAATGCAGACTATAAAGGTTCTACAGTCTCCTCTCTATCTGTCCTCAATGAGACCCAGGCCCAATGCAGACTCTAAAGGTTGCACACTCTGGTCTCTTTCTGTACTCAATGAGACCTAGGCCAAATGCAGACTCTAAAGGTAGCACAGTCTGCTCTCTAACTGTCCTCAATGAGACATAGGCCTAATGCAGACTCTAAAGGTTGCACAGTCTGCTCTCTATGTTTCCTCAATGAGAACTAAGCCCAGTGCAGACTCTAAAGGTTGCATAGTATGCTCTCTATCTGTCCTCAATGAGATCTAGGCCCAATGCAGACTCTAAGGGTTGCCGAGCCTGCTCTCTGTCTGCCGTCAATGAGACCTAGGCCCAATGCAGACTCTAAAGGTTGCACAGTCCGCTCCCTATCTGTCCTCAATGAGACCTAGGCCCAATAGAGACTCTAAAGGTTGCACAGTCTGCTCTCTATCTGTCCTCAATGAGACCCAGGCCCAATGCAGACTCTAAACGTTGCATAGTCTGCTCTCTATCTGTCCGCAATTAGACCTAGGCCCAATGCAGACTCTAAACGTTGCACAGTCTGCTGTCTATCTGTCCGCAATTAGACCTAGGCCCAATGCAGACTCTAAAGGTTGCAGAGTCTGCTGTCTATCTGACCTCAAGGAGACCTAGGCCCAATGCAGACTCTAAAGGTTGCACAGTCTGGTCTCTATCTGTCCTCAATGACACCTAGGCCCAATGCGGACTCTAAAGGTTGCACAGTGTGCTCTCCATCTGTCCTCAATGAGACCTAGGCCCAATGCAGACTCTAAAGGTTGCACAGTCTGCTCTCTATCTGCTCTCAATGAGACCTAGGCCCAATGCAGACTCTAAAGGTTGCACAGTCTGGTCTCTATCTGCCCTCAATGAGACCTAGGCCCAATGCAGACTCTAAAGGTTGCACACTCTGCTCTCTATCTGCTCTCAATGAGACCTAGGCCCAATGCAGACTCTAAAGGTTGCACAGTCTGCTCTCCATCTCTCCTCAATGAGACCTAGGCCCAATGCAGACTCTAAAGGTTGCACAGTCTGCTCTCTATTTGTCCTCAATGAGACCCAGGCCCAATGCAGACTCTAAAGGTTGCACAGTCTGCTCTCTATCGGTCCTCATAGAGACCGAGGCCCTATGCAGACTCTAAAGGTTACACAGTGTGCTCTCTATCTGTCCTCAATGAGACCTAGGCCCAATGCAGACTCTAAAGTTTGCGCAGTCTGCTCTGTATCTGTCCTCAATGAGACCTAGTGCCAGTGCAGACTCTAAAGGTTGCATAGTCTGCTCTCTATCAGTCCTCAGTGAGACCTAGACCCAATGCAGACTCTAAAGTTTGCAAAGTCTGCTCTCTATCTCTCCTCAGTGAGACCTAGACCCAATGCAGATTCTAAAGGTTGCACAGTATGGTCTCTATCTGCCCTCAATGAGACCTAGGCCCAGTGCAGACTCTAAAGGTTGCACAGTCTGCTCTCTATCTGTCCTCAATGAGACCTAGGCCCAATGCAGACTCTAAAGGTTGCACAGTCTGCCCTCTATCTGTCCTCAATGAGACCTAGGCCCAGTGCAGACTCTAAAGGTTGCACAGTCTGGTCTCTATCTGTCCTCAATAAGACCCAGGCCCAATGCAGACTCTAAAGGTTGCACAGTCTGCACTATATCTGTCCTCAATTAGACCTAGGACCAGTGTCGACTCTAATGGTTGCCTAGTCTGCTCTCTATCTGTCCTCAATGAGACCCAGGCACAATGCAGACTCTAAAGGTTGCACAGTCTGCTCTATATCTGTCCTCAATGAGACCTAGGACCAGTGTCGACTCTAATGGTTGCATAGTCTGCTCTCTATCTGTCCTCAATGAGACCTAGGCCCAATGCAGACTCTAAAGGTTGCACAGTCTGGTCTCTATCTGTCCTCAATGAGACCTAGGCCCAATGCCGACTCTAAAGGTTGCACAGTATGCTCTCTATCTGCTCTCAATGAGACCTAGGCCCAATGCAGACTCTAAAGGTTGCACAGTCTGCTCTCTATCTGCCCTCAATGAGACCTAGGCCCAATGCAGACTCTAAAGGTTGCACAGTCTGCTCTCCATCTGTCCTCAATGAGACCTAGGCCCAATGCAGACTCTAAAGGTTGCACAGTCTGCTCTCTATTTCTCCTCAGTGAGACCCAGGCCCAATGCAGACTCTAAAGGTGGCACAGTCTGCTCTCTATCGGTCCTCAATGAGACCGAGGCTCTATGCAGACTCTAAAGGTTACACAGTGTGCTCTCTATCTGTCCTCAATGAGACCTAGACCCAATGCAGACTCTAAAGTTTGCGCAGTCTGCTCTCTATCTGTCCTCAATGAGACCTAGGGCCAGTGCAGACTCTAAAGTTGCATAGTCTGCTCTCTATCAGTCCTCAGTGAGACCTAGACCTAATGCAGACTCTAAAGTTTGCAAAGTCTGCTCTCTATCTCTCCTCAGTGAGACCTAGACCCAATGCAGACTCTAAAGTTTGCACAGTATGGTCTCTATATGCCCTCAATGAGACCTAGGCCCAGTGCAGACTCGAAAGGTTGCACAGTCTGCTCTCTATCTGTCCTCAATGAGACCTAGGCTCAATGCAGACTCTAAAGGTTGCACAGTCTGCCCTCTATCTGTCCTCAATGAGACCTAGGCCCAATGCAGACTCTAAAGTTTGCACAGTCTGGTCTCTATCTGTCCTCAATGAGACCTAGGCCCAATGCCGACTCTAGAGGTTGCACAGTGTGCTCTCTATCTGCTCTCAATGAGACCTAGGCCCAATGCAGACTCTAAAGGTTGCACAGTCTGCTCTCTAACTGCCCTCAATGAGACCTAGGCCCAATGCAGACTCTAAAGGTTGCACAGTCTGTTCTCTATCTGTCCTCAATGAGACCTAGGCCAAGTGCAGACTCTAAAGCTTGCACAGTCTGCTCTCTATCTGACCTCAATGAGACCTAGGCCCAATGCAGACTATAAAGGTTCTACAGTCTGCTCTCTATCTGTCCTCAATGAGACCTAGGCCCAATGCAGACTCTAAAGTTTGCGCACTCTGGTCTCTTTCTGTCCTCAATGAGACCTAGGCCAAATGCAGACTGTAAAGGTTGCACAGCCTGCTCTCTAACTGTCCTCAATGAGACATAGGCCCAATGCAGACTCTAAAGGTTGCACAGTCTGCTCTCTATGTGTCCTCAATGAGACCTAGGCCCAGTGCAGACTCTAAAGGTTGCATAGTATGCTCTCTATCTGTCCTCAATGAGATCTAGGCCCAATGCAGACTCTAAGGGTTCCCGAGCCTGCTCTCTATCTGCCCTCAATGAGACCTAGGCCCAATGCAGACTCTAAAGGTTGCACAGTCCTCTCCCTATCTGTCCTCAATGAGACCTAGGCCCAATAGAGACTCTAAAGGTTGCACAGTCTGCTCTCTATCTGTCCTCAATGAGACCCAGGCCCAATGCAGACTCTAAACGTTGCATAGTCTGCTCTCTATCTGTCCGCAATTAGACCTAGGCCCAATGCAGACTCTAAACGTTGCACAGTCTGCTGTCTATCTGTCCGCAATTAGACCTAGGCCCAATGCAGACTCTAAAGGTTGCAGATTCTGCTGTCTATCTGACCTCAAGGAGACCTAGGCCCAATGCAGACTCTAAAGGTTGCACAGTCTGGTCTCTATCTGTCCTCAATGACACCTAGGCCCAGTGCAGACTCTAAAGTTTGCACAGTCTGCTCTCTGTCTGTCCTCAAAGAGACCTAGGCCCAGTGCAGACTCTAAAGGTTGCACAGTCTCCTCTCTATCTGTCCTCACTGATACCTAGGCCCAATGCAGACTCTAAAGGTTGCACAGTCTGTTCTCTATTTGTCCTCAATGAGACCCAGGCCCAATGCAGAGTCTAAAGGTTGCACAGTCTGCTCTCTATCGGTCCTCAATGAGACCTAGGCCCAATGCAGACTCTAAAGGTTGCACAGTCTGCTCTCTATCTGCCCTCAATGAGACCTAGGCCCAATGCAAACTCTAAAGGTTGCACAGTCTGGTCTCTATCTGTCCTCAATGAGACCTAGGCCCAATGCGGACTCTAAAGGTTGCACAGTGTGCTCTCCATCTGTCCTCAATGAGACCTAGGCCAAATGCAGACTCTAAAGGTTGCACAGTCTGCTCTCTATGTGTCCTCAATCAGACCTAGGCCCAGTGCAGACTCTAAAGTTTGCACAGTCTGCTCTCTATCGGCCCTCAATGAGACCTAGGCCCAATGCAGACTGTAAAGGTTGCACAGTCTGCTCTCTATCTGCTCTCAAGAGACCTAGGCCCAATGCAAACTCTAAAGGTTGCACATTCTGGTCTCTATCTCTCCTGAATGAGACCCAGGCCCAATGCAGACTGTAAAGGTTGCACAGTCTGCTCTCTATCTGTCCTCAATGAGACCTAGGCCCAGTGCAGACTGTAAAGTTTGCATAGTCTGCTCTCTATCTGTCCTCAGTGAGACCTAGGTCCAATGCAGACTCTAAATGTTGCACAGTCTGCTCTCTATCTGTCCTCGATGAGACCTAGCCCTAGTGCAGACTCTAAAGGTTGCACAGTCTGCTCTCTATCTGCCCTCAATGAGACCTAGGCCCAATGCAGACTCTAAAGGTTGCACAGTCTGCTCTCTATTTTTCCTCAATGAGACCCAGGCCCAATGCAGACTCTAAAGGTTGCACAGTCTGCTCTCTATCGGTCCTCAATGAGACCGAGGCCCTATGCAAACTCTAAAGGTTACACAGTGTGCTCTCTATCTGTCCTCAGTGAGACCTAGGCCCAATGCAGACTCTAAAGTTTGCGCAGTCTGCTCTCTATCTGTCCTCAATGAGACCTAGGGCCAGGCAGACTCTAAAGTTGCATAGTCTGCTCTCTATCAGTCCTCAGTGAGACCTAGACCTAATGCAGACTCTGAAGTTTGCAAAGTCTGCTCTCTATCTCTCCTCAGTGAGACCTAGACCCAATGCAGACTCTAAAGTTTGCACAGTATGGTCTCTATATGCCCTCAATGAGACCTAGGCCCAGTGCAGACTCTAAAGTTTGCAAAGTCTGCTCTCTATCTGTCCTCAATGAGACCTAGGCCCAATGCAGACTCTAAAGGTTGCACAGTCTGCCCTCTATCTGTCCTCAATGAGACCTAGGCCCAATGCAGACTCTAAAGGTTGCACAGTCTGGTCTCTATCTGCCCTCAATGAGACCTAGGCCCAATGCAGACTCTAAAGGTTGCACACTCTGCTCTCTATCTGCTCTCAATGAGACCTAGGCCCAATGCAGACTCTAAAGGTTGCACAGTCTGCTCTCCATCTCTCCTCAATGAGACCTAGGCCCAATGCAGACTCTAAAGGTTGCACAGTCTGCTCTCTATTTGTCCTCAATGAGACCCAGGCCCAATGCAGACTCTAAAGGTTGCACAGTCTGCTCTCTATCGGTCCTCATAGAGACCGAGGCCCTATGCAGACTCTAAAGGTTACACAGTGTGCTCTCTATCTGTCCTCAATGAGACCTAGGCCCAATGCAGACTCTAAAGTTTGCGCAGTCTGCTCTGTATCTGTCCTCAATGAGACCTAGTGCCAGTGCAGACTCTAAAGGTTGCATAGTCTGCTCTCTATCAGTCCTCAGTGAGACCTAGACCCAATGCAGACTCTAAAGTTTGCAAAGTCTGCTCTCTATCTCTCCTCAGTGAGACCTAGACCCAATGCAGATTCTAAAGGTTGCACAGTATGGTCTCTATCTGCCCTCAATGAGACCTAGGCCCAGTGCAGACTCTAAAGGTTGCACAGTCTGCTCTCTATCTGTCCTCAATGAGACCTAGGCCCAATGCAGACTCTAAAGGTTGCACAGTCTGCCCTCTATCTGTCCTCAATGAGACCTAGGCCCAGTGCAGACTCTAAAGGTTGCACAGTCTGGTCTCTATCTGTCCTCAATAAGACCCAGGCCCAATGCAGACTCTAAAGGTTGCACAGTCTGCACTATATCTGTCCTCAATTAGACCTAGGACCAGTGTCGACTCTAATGGTTGCCTAGTCTGCTCTCTATCTGTCCTCAATGAGACCCAGGCACAATGCAGACTCTAAAGGTTGCACAGTCTGCTCTATATCTGTCCTCAATGAGACCTAGGACCAGTGTCGACTCTAATGGTTGCATAGTCTGCTCTCTATCTGTCCTCAATGAGACCTAGGCCCAATGCAGACTCTAAAGGTTGCACAGTCTGGTCTCTATCTGTCCTCAATGAGACCTAGGCCCAATGCCGACTCTAAAGGTTGCACAGTATGCTCTCTATCTGCTCTCAATGAGACCTAGGCCCAATGCAGACTCTAAAGGTTGCACAGTCTGCTCTCTATCTGCCCTCAATGAGACCTAGGCCCAATGCAGACTCTAAAGGTTGCACAGTCTGCTCTCCATCTGTCCTCAATGAGACCTAGGCCCAATGCAGACTCTAAAGGTTGCACAGTCTGCTCTCTATTTCTCCTCAGTGAGACCCAGGCCCAATGCAGACTCTAAAGGTGGCACAGTCTGCTCTCTATCGGTCCTCAATGAGACCGAGGCTCTATGCAGACTCTAAAGGTTACACAGTGTGCTCTCTATCTGTCCTCAATGAGACCTAGACCCAATGCAGACTCTAAAGTTTGCGCAGTCTGCTCTCTATCTGTCCTCAATGAGACCTAGGGCCAGTGCAGACTCTAAAGTTGCATAGTCTGCTCTCTATCAGTCCTCAGTGAGACCTAGACCTAATGCAGACTCTAAAGTTTGCAAAGTCTGCTCTCTATCTCTCCTCAGTGAGACCTAGACCCAATGCAGACTCTAAAGTTTGCACAGTATGGTCTCTATATGCCCTCAATGAGACCTAGGCCCAGTGCAGACTCGAAAGGTTGCACAGTCTGCTCTCTATCTGTCCTCAATGAGACCTAGGCTCAATGCAGACTCTAAAGGTTGCACAGTCTGCCCTCTATCTGTCCTCAATGAGACCTAGGCCCAATGCAGACTCTAAAGTTTGCACAGTCTGGTCTCTATCTGTCCTCAATGAGACCTAGGCCCAATGCCGACTCTAGAGGTTGCACAGTGTGCTCTCTATCTGCTCTCAATGAGACCTAGGCCCAATGCAGACTCTAAAGGTTGCACAGTCTGCTCTCTAACTGCCCTCAATGAGACCTAGGCCCAATGCAGACTCTAAAGGTTGCACAGTCTGTTCTCTATCTGTCCTCAATGAGACCTAGGCCAAGTGCAGACTCTAAAGCTTGCACAGTCTGCTCTCTATCTGACCTCAATGAGACCTAGGCCCAATGCAGACTATAAAGGTTCTACAGTCTGCTCTCTATCTGTCCTCAATGAGACCTAGGCCCAATGCAGACTCTAAAGTTTGCGCACTCTGGTCTCTTTCTGTCCTCAATGAGACCTAGGCCAAATGCAGACTGTAAAGGTTGCACAGCCTGCTCTCTAACTGTCCTCAATGAGACATAGGCCCAATGCAGACTCTAAAGGTTGCACAGTCTGCTCTCTATGTGTCCTCAATGAGACCTAGGCCCAGTGCAGACTCTAAAGGTTGCATAGTATGCTCTCTATCTGTCCTCAATGAGATCTAGGCCCAATGCAGACTCTAAGGGTTCCCGAGCCTGCTCTCTATCTGCCCTCAATGAGACCTAGGCCCAATGCAGACTCTAAAGGTTGCACAGTCCTCTCCCTATCTGTCCTCAATGAGACCTAGGCCCAATAGAGACTCTAAAGGTTGCACAGTCTGCTCTCTATCTGTCCTCAATGAGACCCAGGCCCAATGCAGACTCTAAACGTTGCATAGTCTGCTCTCTATCTGTCCGCAATTAGACCTAGGCCCAATGCAGACTCTAAACGTTGCACAGTCTGCTGTCTATCTGTCCGCAATTAGACCTAGGCCCAATGCAGACTCTAAAGGTTGCAGATTCTGCTGTCTATCTGACCTCAAGGAGACCTAGGCCCAATGCAGACTCTAAAGGTTGCACAGTCTGGTCTCTATCTGTCCTCAATGACACCTAGGCCCAGTGCAGACTCTAAAGTTTGCACAGTCTGCTCTCTGTCTGTCCTCAAAGAGACCTAGGCCCAGTGCAGACTCTAAAGGTTGCACAGTCTCCTCTCTATCTGTCCTCACTGATACCTAGGCCCAATGCAGACTCTAAAGGTTGCACAGTCTGTTCTCTATTTGTCCTCAATGAGACCCAGGCCCAATGCAGAGTCTAAAGGTTGCACAGTCTGCTCTCTATCGGTCCTCAATGAGACCTAGGCCCAATGCAGACTCTAAAGGTTGCACAGTCTGCTCTCTATCTGCCCTCAATGAGACCTAGGCCCAATGCAAACTCTAAAGGTTGCACAGTCTGGTCTCTATCTGTCCTCAATGAGACCTAGGCCCAATGCGGACTCTAAAGGTTGCACAGTGTGCTCTCCATCTGTCCTCAATGAGACCTAGGCCCAATGCAGACTCTAAAGGTTGCACAGTCTGCTCTCTATCTCTCCTCAATGAGACCTAGGCCCAATGCAAACTCTAAAGTTTGCACAGTCTGCTCTCTATCTGCCCTCAATGAGACCTAGGCCCAATGCAGACTCTAAAGGTTGCACAGTCTGCTCTCTATGTGTCCTCAATGAGACCTAGGCCAAGTGCAGACTCTAAAGGTTGCACAGTCTGCTCTCTATCTGCCCTCAATGAGACCTAGGCCCAATGTAGACTCTAAAGGTTGCACAGTCTGCTCTCTATCTACTCTCAATGAGACCTAGGCCCAATGCAGACTCTAAAGGTTGCACAGTCTGGTCTCTATCTGTCCTGAATGAGGCCCAGGCCCAATGCAGACTGTAAAGGTTGCACAGTCTGCTCTCTATCTGTCCTCAATGAGACCTAGGCTCAGTCCAGCCTCTAAAGTTTGCATAGTCTGCTCTCTATCTGTCCTCAATGAGACCTAGGTCCAATGCAGACTCTAAAGGTTGCACAGTCTGCTTTCCATCTGTCCTCAATGAGACCTAGGCCCAATGCAGACTCTATAGGTTGCACAGTCTGCTCTCCATCTGTCCTCAATGAGACCTAGGCCCAATGCAGACTCTAAAGGTTGCACAGTCTGCTCTCTATTTGTCCTCAATGAGACCCAGGCCCAATGCAGACTCTAAAGGTGGCACAGTCTGCTCTCTATCGGTCCTCAATGAGACCGAGGCCCTATGCAGTCTCTAAAGGTTACACAGTGTGCTCTCTATCTCTCCTCAGTGAGACCTAGGCCCAATGCAGACTCTAAAGGTTGCACAGTATGGTCTCTATCTGCCCTCAATGAGACCTAGGCCCAGTGCAGACTCTAAAGGTTGCACAGTCTGCTCTCTATCGGTCCTCAATGAGACCTAGGCCCAATGCAGACTCTAAAGGTTGCACAGTCTGCCCTCTATCTGTCCTCAATGAGACCTAGGCCCAGTGCAGCCTCTAAAGGTTGCACAGTCTGCTCTCTATCTGTCCTCAATGAGACCCAGGCCCAATGCAGACTCTAAAGGTTGCACAGTCTGCTCTATATCTGTCCTCAATGAGACCTAGGACCAGTGCCGACTCTAATGGTTGCCTACTCTGCTCTCTATCTGTCCTCAATGAGACCTAGGCCCAATGCAGACTCTAAAGGTTTCACAGTCTGGTCTCTATCTGTCCTCAATGAGACCTAGGCCCAATGCCGACTCTAAAGGTTGCACTGTATGCTCTCTATCTTCTCTCAATGAGACCTAGGCCCAATGCAGACTCTAAAGGTTGCACAGTCTGCTCTCTATGTGCCCTCAATGAGACCTAGGCCCAATGCCGACTCTAAAGGTTGCACTGTATGCTCTCTATCTTCTCTCAATGAGACCTAGGCCCAATGCAGACTCTAAAGGTTGCACAGTCTGCTCTCTATGTGCCCTCAATGAGACCTAGGCCCAATGCAGACTCTAAAGGTTGCACAGTCTGCTCTCCATCTGTCCTCAATGAGACCTAGGCCCAATGCAGACTCTAAAGGTTGCACAGTCTGCTCTCTATTTCTCCTCAATGAGACCCAGGCCCAATGCAGACTCTAAAGGTGGCACAGTCTGCTCTCTATCGGTCCTCAATGAGACCGAGGCCCTATGCAGACTCTAAAGGTTACACAGTGTGCTCTCTATCTGTCCTCAATGAGACCTAGGCCCAATGCAGACTCTAAAGTTTGCGCAGTCTGCTCTCTATCTGTCCTCAATGAGACCTAGGGCCAGTGCAGACTCTAAAGGTTGCATAATCTGCTCTCTATCAGTCCTCAGTGAGACCTAGACCTAATGCAGACTCTAAAGTTTGCAAAGTCTGCTCTCTATCTCTCCTCAGTGAGACCTAGACCCAATGCAGACTCTAAAGGTTGCACAGTATGGTCTCTATCTGCCCTCAATGAGACCTAGGCCCAGTGCAGACTCTAAAGGTTGCACAGTCTGCTCTCTATCTGACCTCAATGAGACCTAGGCCCAATGCAGACTCTAAAGGTTGCACAGTCTGCCCTGTATCTGTCCTCAATGAGACCTAGGCCCAATGCAGACTCTAAAGTTTGCACAGTCTGGTCTCTATCTGTCCTCAATGAGACCTAGGCCCAATGCCGACTCTAGAGGTTGCACAGTGTGCTCTCTATCTGCTCTCAATGAGACCTAGGCCCAATGCAGACTCTAAAGGTTGCACAGTCTGCTCTCTAACTGCCCTCAATGAGACCTAGGCCCAATGCAGACTCTAAAGGTTGCACAGTCTGTTCTCTATCTGTCCTCAATGAGACCTAGGCCAAGTGCAGACTCTAAAGCTTGCCCAGTCTGCTCCCTATCTGACCTCAATGAGACCTAGGCCCAATGCAGACTATAAAGGTTCTACAGTCTCCTCTCTATCTGTCCTCAATGAGACCCAGGCCCAATGCAGACTCTAAAGGTTGCACACTCTGGTCTCTTTCTGTACTCAATGAGACCTAGGCCAAATGCAGACTCTAAAGGTAGCACAGTCTGCTCTCTAACTGTCCTCAATGAGACATAGGCCTAATGCAGACTCTAAAGG
>NC_000024.10:222346-226276 GCF_000001405.40 Homo sapiens
ACCCTAACCCTAACCCTAACCCTAACCCTAACCCTAACCCTAACCCTAACCCTAACCCTAACCCTAACCCTAACCCTAACCCTAACCCTCTGAAAGTGGACCTATCAGCAGGATGTGGGTGGGAGCAGATTAGAGAATAAAAGCAGACTGCCTGAGCCAGCAGTGGCAACCCAATGGGGTCCCTTTCCATACTGTGGAAGCTTCGTTCTTTCACTCTTTGCAATAAATCTTGCTAYTGCTCACTCTTTGGGTCCACACTGCCTTTATGAGCTGTGACACTCACCGCAAAGGTCTGCAGCTTCACTCCTGAGCCAGTGAGACCACAACCCCACCAGAAAGAAGAAACTCAGAACACATCTGAACATCAGAAGAAACAAACTCCGGACGCGCCACCTTTAAGAACTGTAACACTCACCGCGAGGTTCCGCGTCTTCATTCTTGAAGTCAGTGAGACCAAGAACCCACCAATTCCAGACACACTAGGACCCTGAGACAACCCCTAGAAGAGCACCTGGTYGATAACCCAGTTCCCATCTGGGATTTAGGGGACCTGGACAGCCCGGAAAATGAGCTCCTCATCTCTAACCCAGTTCCCCTGTGGGGATTTAGGGGACCAGGGACAGCCCGTTRCATSAGCCCCTGGWCTCTAACCCAGTTCCCTTCTGGAATTTAGGGGCCCTGGGACAGCCCTGTACATGAGCTCCTGGTCTGTAACACAGTTCCCCTGTGGGGATTTAGGGACTTGGGCCTTCTGTCTTTGGGATCTACTCTCTATGGGCCACACAGATATGTCTTCCAACTTCCCTACACAGGGGGGACTTCAAAGAGTGCCTTGAGCTGATCTGGTGATTGCTTTTTTGTACTGTTATTTATCTTATTCTTTTCATTGTGAGGTACTGATGCAAACACTTTGTACGAAAAGGTCTTTCTCATCTCGGGAGTCCCCGTCTATTTGTCCCGGTCCCTGTTAACCCAGTCCCCGACAGGAGCCCCTTCTGCACCTTGAGCTCTCACCACTCACCGTCCATCCAGCCCCAGCTCTGCCTGCAACCCACCCATCCCTGGGACTCGGGCCTCCCCTCTCTAGTGGTCTGGTCATCAGGCCAGGGGCACGTGGAAGAAGCTATCGTGGCAAAGGGAGCAGTCATATCCCCAAAATCTGTGGTTGGTTTACCACCACCATGGAAACCCCAGGGTGGGACTCTAGTTTCAGGTTGGAGCTGAGCCCTGTCGGGAATGAGCTTTCCCCAGCTATGGCTTCTTGGGGCCCCTGTGCCCTGAGCTGTGTCTCCCAGCATCGGGTCCCCACCATGCATATGGCCCACTCAGGCACAGTGCCGCGATGGCTGCATGCGTGAGGGGGGCCTGGGCCCAGGGCTGGGAGTCCTTTGTGTCTCATGGCCATGATTGTCCTTCCGAGTATGATATGGTGGCCAATTTCTTTTATTCTGTCGTTCAGAGTGAGTAAATGATGTAGAGTTCATGCAGAAAAAAATACAACAAAAACCAAGGGAACATAGAATTGGAAAACGCGTCACAGCAATGAGTTAAATAGGTAACAAATTTCATCATTTGAAGAAAGACTTAGAGTGCCAAAAGTGCCTCTTAAGTCTCCTTTAAAAAGTAGCAAAATTCATCCCTGAAGAAGCATCTTGGCCTTTTTCATGTACTCAGAGTGCTGGTGAAGAACAAAGATTGCTGAAACATTATGTACCTAACAGCGTTACAGGGTGTAGATAACACACTGGAAAACCTGGTCGTTACAGTGGACATATTCCAGGAAGTCCTTGCCTGAGGTTTTCCAAGTTATGGAATTGCTTGAGATTGGAAGAGGCGATGGAGGGTACAACTGTAATGCCCAACCTCATTTTTGCTAACCCTGTTTTTAGACTCTCCCTTTCCTTCAATCACCTAGCCTTCTTTCCACCTGAAAGGACTCTCCCTTAACTGAGAGAACCGGACAGACTCCATCTTGGCTCTTTCACTGGCAGCCCCTTCCTCAAAGACTTAACTCGTGCAAGCTGACTCCCAGGACATCCGAGAATGCAATTAACTGACAACCTACTGTGGCGAGCTACATCCGCAGTCCCCAGGAATTCGTCCGATTGATAACGCCCAATTACCCGCGTCTATCACCTTGTAATAGTCTTAAAGCACCTGCACCTGGAACTGTTTACTTTCCTGTAACCATTTATCCTTTTAACATTTTGCCTGATTTACTTATGTAAAATTCTTTTAACTAGACCGCCACTCCCCTTTCTAAACAAAAGTATAAAAGAAAATCTAGCCCCTTCTTTGGGACTGAGACAATTTTGAGGTTAACGCAGGGTGCCTGTAATCCTAAGGGAGGAGACCGCCACTTCTGCTGCCCTTCCCTTCCCCACACCCCCTTCTCTAGTTTATGAAACAGGGAAAAAGGGAGAAAGCAAAAAGATAAAAAAAACAGAAGTAAGATAAATAGCTAGACGACCTTGGCAGCACCACCCGGCACTGGTGGTTAAAATAATAATAATAATAATATTAACCCCTGACCTAAACTACTTGTGTTATCTGTAAATTCCAGACACTGTATGAGGAAGCCCTGCAAAACTTTCTGTTCTGTTATCTGATGCGTGTAGCCCCCAGTCACGTTCCGATGCTTCCTCGATCTATCACGACCCTTTCACGTGAACCCCTTAGAGTCGTAAACCCTTAAAAGGGCCAGGAATTTCGTTTTCGGGGAGCTCGGCTCTTCAGGCCCAAGTAAACCTGCCGTATCTCACCTGAGACCAACCCCCAACTACAAAACTCAACCTGGAATTTTCCCAGGACCAAACCCATCTATATTCTGTAACCCGAAACCTCAAAGCCTAACCCTAACCCTAACCCCTACAGTTGAGGTCCCCCCGCCCCTGTGGTTCCAGCTCAAGACAACCTGCCCCTCCGTGGGTTTGCAGGCCCTCTGGTGGGGGTGGGAGCTGGGGGCCACATACAGCTCTCTGAGCTTAAGCCATTTTCTTCCTTCATTCCTTCCTTCCTCCCTCCCTTCCCTTCCTTCCTCCCTCCCTCCCTCCTTCCCTCCCTCCCTTTTTTTTTTCAGGGTCTTGCTCTGTCACCCAGGCTGGAGTGCAGTGGCATGATCACAGCTGACTGCAGCCTCGGACTCCCAGGCTCAAGTTATCTTCCCTCCTCAGCCTCCAGAGTAGGTGGGACTACAGGAGTGTGCCATTGCACCCAGCGAATTTCTTAATTTTTATTTTGTAGAGATGAGGCCTCTCGATATTGTCCAGGCTTGGAAGTAGTTCTTGAAATTCAAGAGGATCTTGAAGTTCTGACCTCCTGTCAATATCCCTTCCCCTCACCTTGACCCTCCCATTCTGCCCCACCTGTCAGGATCACAAGGACCCCCAGATCAGCAGATGGGAACCGGACCAAAAAGAGAAATAGTGCTGTCCCGCCCATAAGTACCACCCCCAGACTCCCTGCTCCACCCTCTGGACCACAGGGAGGCCCCATGCTCCATCCCTGAAAACCACCCCCAGACTCCCTGCTCCTCCCCACGGGACCGCCCCCAGATCCACTGTTCCTGTCCTCCGGACCACACCGGACAGCTCCTTCCCTCGGCGCCATCCCCAGACCCCAGCTCCTCCCCTCAGGATCATCCCCAGACCCCCGCTCCTCCCCTAAGGACCACCCACAGACCCCCACGCTTCCCCTCGGGATCACCCCCAGACCCCCGCTCCTCCCATCAGGACCGCCCCCAGAACCCCCTGCTCCTCCCCACAGGACCACCCCCAGACCCCCGCTCCTCCCCTAAGGACCACCCACAGACCCCCACGCTTCCCCTCGGGACCACCCCCAGACCCCCGCTCCTCCCATCAGGACCACCCCCAGATCCACTGTTCCTGTCCTCCGGACCACACCAGACAGCTCCTTCCCTCGGCGCCATCC
>NC_000024.10:2132994-2137388 GCF_000001405.40 Homo sapiens
TGTCTGTGTATGTATATATATATATATATATATATATATATATATATATATATATGCACACATAGCATGTACATCGCTCAAAGCCCAGGTTTTTGGACATCAGTGTAACTGACCTGCTGATTAGCGTATGGTGAGGACTGCCAGCCGGAACACACCAGGGAAAGGATAAAAAAAGTGGGCAGAGCGAGGAGCTATTTTAGTCCTGGTCCAGGGTCCACCACCATGTGGCTGCATTTTAATGACACACGCGCTTCACCCTCCCAGATGCTGAATTCACCTGCAACATCACACTCCTCAAGGAGACGTTTAGCAGACATTATCTGAGGGCTCCGTGCAGAGCAGAGCCTGGTCACTGACTGTTTTCTCAGGAAAAGATAGGTGCAGAAGGTAGGGGAAGGACCTGAGTCCCAGGGGAATCAGCCACTAAGAATTCAGCATCTGGCCAAGTTGCTCAAAGAAATTGTTCTTGTTTAGCCTCTCTCTTGAATCAGTGGATGTTTACTGGAACCTGGAAGGAAAGGGAAGACAGCCAGAAGCTATGGTGTATGTGTGTGTGGCTGAGCAGGGAAAGGAAAGAGGTGGAGAGAAGGAGGGAGAGAAGAAGGAATAAGACAGGGGAGGAGGAGAGGGGAGGAAGAAAGAGGAGGAGAAGGAGGAGGGGGAGAAGGAGGAGGAGTAAAAAGAGAAGTGGTAGGAGAGGGTAGAAGGAGGAGGAGGAGAGGGAGGAGGAAGAGAAAAGGAGAGGAGGAGGAGGGGAGGAGGAGATGGGAGGAGGAGGAGGAAAGGAGAGAAGGAGGGAGAGGGGGAGGAGGAGGAGGAAAGGAGAGAAGGAGGAAGAGGGGGAGGAGGAGGAGGAAAGGAGAGAAGGAGGAAGAGGGGGAGGAGGAGAGAGAAGGAGGGGAGACAGGAGGAGGAGGGGAGAGGGGAGGAGGAGGGAGGGGAGGAGGAGACAGGAGGAGGAGGAGGAGAAGGAGAAGGGAGGAGGAGGAAGAGAGGGGAGGAGGAGGAAGAGGAGGGGGAGGAGAGGGTAGAAGGAGGAGGGAGGAGGAGGACAAGGACAGACAGTGGGAGGAGGAGAAATAGTAAATGAAGAAGGAGAACAAGAAAAGATGAAAAAAGAGAGGGAGTAGAAGGAAAAGGAGAAGGAGGAAGAGGAGAAGAAGGAGTATCAAATGGTACAATTTCTAAAATCCAATCTGACCAAGTCTAGACCTTCTCCAAAAGAAATCGCCAAGTAAGCAGTAACAAGTAAAATAAAAGAGAGGATAGTCTTTAAGAGACAAACCTAGTAGGTCAGATTTTTTTTTTTTTAAGGAAGCTTAGTTTTTATTGGATACACTTTCATCTTTATAGCTCATTGATTGTGAAAAGGCTTATGGAATAATATAATTACCAAACAACAAAATAAATAAACAGTTGTAGACTTATGCTACACAATAAATGACAAAACCGCACACACACAAAAAAGGAGGGGAATATTTAAAACTTAGTTACGTTTCCTTCGACACATTTTTCACTGGGTGGAAGGAAAAGCCCAGCATCAAATACTTTCTTTGAAGTCTCTAAAAGCTTTCTCAGTGATGAGATTAAACTTGCAAAAGCTTTCTTGCTGTGGGGAGGCAACAACGACAGCTCTAATTACAGGGGTTCTGCACTCAGGGTGTTATGGTTCTCTGAAACAAGGAAGAGAGGCGTGCATACATTAATCCAAGGATACGTCCCAGCCAGTAATGAGCCACCGCTTGCAGTGGAAAGCAGGGAGTTGTGAGCTTGTGTCATAGAATATACAATTTCCTTGTGGTGTCCCACAAAAAGCTATCTCCCATTCAGATTGTTCCTACGTAGTTGTGCCAGTCATAACAAGAACCAAGATCTACAAACAAAAGAAAAGAAAGAGAAGAAAGAAAGAAAGAAAGAGAGAGAGAGAAAGAGAGAAAGAAAGAAAGAAAGAGGAGGGAAGAAAGGAAGGAAGGAAGGGAGGGAGGAGAAAGGAAGGAAGAAAGGAAGAAAGAAAGAAGAAAGGAAGGAAGAAAAGAAGGAAGGAGAAAGAAAGGAAGGAAGAATGAAGGAAGGAAGAAGGAAGTCCTTCTTCCTGTGAGTAAATGCCCTATCCCAACTATTCCCTTTGTTGGCCAACTGCATGGTTAGTTTATCTAAAAAATTAATAGGAATGAAGTAATCAACATAATTGGTCTTGTTTCATATGTAATATGTCCATGGTTTAACTATTTTTGTGTGTGTGTGTGAGACAGAGTCTCACTCTGATGCCCATGCTGGAGTGCAGTGGCGTGATCTCGGCTCACTGTAACCTCTGCCTCCTGGGTTCAAGCGATTCCCCTGCCTCAGCCTCCCAAGTATCTGGGACTACAAGTGGGCACCACCACGCCTGGCTAATTTTTTTGTATTTTAGTAGAGACGGGGTTTCACTGTGTTAGCCAGGATGGTCTCGATCTCCTGACCTCATGATCCACCCACCTCGGCCTCCCAAAGTGCTGGGATTACAGGCGCACGCCACCACGCCCAGCTGGTTTAACTGTTTTTAAAAATAATTTGAAGGCTGTCTCCTGGCAGAATTTCCTCTTGCTCTGTGGAGGTCAGATTTTGTTCTTTTCATGTCTTCAACTGATTAGACAAGGCCCACCCACATTATGGAGAGAGGGTCATCTTGACTCAAAGTCACTGATATCAACCCCATCCAAAAACACATTCACAGAAACATCCAGGATGACGTTCACCCACACATCTGGGCACAGTGGCCCAGCCAAGTGGACACATAAAATTAACCATCACAAATATTATTACTTAAATGAAATGCTTAAAAAGAACAGCCAGAGGAAACATAAAGCAAGGGATTAGAAGCAAACAGGGGGCATATTCATTAAAGCAGCTGGGCAGAGAAGGGGCTGATATAAATGGGAAACAACGTCAGAGCAAACTCTTGGAAGATAGGGGAATCTGGCGTGCTTGTGGGCCAAGAGTAAGAGCTTAAGAGAGGTATATTGAATGTTTTCCCCTCCTGTCAGCCTGAAGCCAGTGACTGCTGTGGTTTGAAGGCAGAAAGAGAAATCCCATAAAAATACCTAGAAGTCCACTGTTGTGCCAGGTTTTACGTCTACTTTGGGACACTGGCTTCAGGATAGTCTAACTTGCCCTTACAACTCTGGTTCAAGCATAGATAATTGATCCAAGCCAGTGTGAAATATCAATGCATGTGCACATATGCATGTGTGTTACCAGGAAATAACTCAGCAAGAATGAGAGCACCACAGCCATAACATAGATTAAAATGTAGACCTCACAGTGTTATCAGGATCAGCTTTTTTCAAGAAACCATGGGCTTCATTCATTCAAAAAGCACAATTGCATGGTAGACTATTACCTTGCCTGCTCATTTATTTGTATATCCCTAGCTTCTCACACTGAAGATATGCACACTAAACACTGGTCAAACAAAAATGAGTGGATAAATGATTAACCAATTTGTTTCATTCTCCCCACAAGACAAGCACTGGTCATTTTACATGGTGCCCAAAACTGACTCTAGTGTGTACTTTTAAACCCTATTTAATAAGACCAACCAGGCCAGATGCGGTGGCTCACGCCTGTCATCCCAGCACTTTGGGAGGCCAAGGCAAGCAGATCACCTGAGGTTGGGAGTTCGAGACCAGCCTGACCAACACGGAGAAACCCCATTTCTACTAAAAATACAAAATTACCTGGGTGTCGTGGTACATGCCTGTAGGAGAATCGGTTGAACCCAGTAGGCGGAGGTTGCAGTGAGCTGAGATCGCGCCATTGCACTTAAGCCTGGGCAACAAGAGCAAAACTCCGCCTCCAAAAAAAATAAAAATAGAAATAAGACCAATCAAAGGAGATCTTGTATGAATGGCCCAAAACTAAAGTATGCATGATTTTATTTTCCAAGTCAGATGGGCCTCAGAGCTTAGCAGAAAGTATCATCATTATCACCATCAACATCATTGTCATCATCATCACCATCATCTCCATTACCTCTCCCATCATCATCATCATCACTACCAACATCATCATCATCACCATTATCTCCATTATCACTACCATCATCATCACCATCCTCACCATCATCATCACCATCATCTTCATTACCTCCATCATCATCATCACCATCACCATCTTCATTACCTCCCCCATCATCATCACGATCACCATCTTTATTACCTCTCCCATCATCATCATCACCATCCTCACCATCGTCATCATCATCACCATCTTCATTACCTCCCCCATCATCATCATCACGATCACCATCTTCATAACCTCTCCCATCATCATCATCACGATCACCATCTTCATAACCTCTCCCATCATCATCATCACGATCACCATCTTCATAACCTCTCCCATCATCATCATCA